>NT_187653.1:0-190869 GCF_000001405.40 Homo sapiens | reverse complement strand
CTCAGAGGAACATGTGACTATTCAATGTAACAGAGAAAAATCAGGACTTTTAACTAGCCTCGACAATTTAGGTTTTGCCCCTAAATACGTTCAGCCTGAGTCAGTTTTCGCTAGTGAATGGGTTTTGCTTGGCATTCAGATTTGTAAGTCAGAGTCCAGATTATACCAGGTCCAGATTATAACCTTCTCTGTGTTCTCGGTGAGAAACCAGGTGCTGGAGGCGTTAATCCATTTGCCCACTTCCACTCTGGCTAATGGCTGGCAGAGCCAGGATTCACCCCCAGATCTCCTGGGCCAGAGCCTGCTGTCCTGCCTGGGTGATGCGGCTGTGTCTGCCCATCGTCCTTGCAGGCCCTGCTTGGCCCTGCAGAATGACTGAGCAGCCAGCCTGTCCTTGGACGGGTCCCCACCCCAGAAGACTGGATGAGAACCAATGTGGCCAGCATGGTCTAGGAGGCGAGCGAGCGAGATCAGCTGGGGCAGGCCTTCAGTAGGCACAGGAATTAACCAGGACACACCCAGGCGGAGGCCACACCAGAATCCTGGGGTAGGGATTCCCTGGCAAGGGCTCTGTCCACACCCCTGCAATGTCAGGCAGCCTGGGCACCACTGCCCCGGGACAGCTGGACCAAAGAGGGGTGGCAGTGAGCCAAGCCTAGCTTGTCCAGATGGACAAAGCACTCCTAAGGTGGGCAAAGATGCCCCAGGTCCCAGGGGGCCCCACACTCTCCCTGAAGCTGCTCTGGGAGCTCCTGGCACAGAACTCCCACACCTCTTCAGTGTTGGTGTTGGAAAGCTGACCGGTCGGTGAGGGAGGTGGCGAGCTGCAGTTGCCTGCCAAGGGCCTGGTGGCCTTTGGAATCCACAAAGCCCTCCCTCTGCTCAGACCCTGCCTGTGCACACGAGGGGACTGTTGTGGAAGGCCACGCACAAAGTACTAGTTAATATTTAACAAGCTTGCTCACATGCACATCTCATCCTATCCTTGCATTGGTCCCACGCAGCGAGATCCCACTGGACAGATGGGGAAAATGAGCTGGAGAGAAGCTCATACGGACAGCGGCACTGGGGACTTTCTAACTTGCGTGCTGCTCCTCCCGAACGCCCTGGCTGGTGTGCACGGCTCTCTCATTCCTCTCCCTGCCAAGACGGACCCACCTGGAAGGTAAGCTGCCCGACAGACCCTGTGGAAGGTCCTCAGCCCCTCCCAGTGGAGCCCCCTCCTCTCCACACGGCCTGGCTGGCGTGCACGGCTCTGAAGTGCTCGTTCCTCCTCAGGATCGGGCACTGTGCGTGTGTGTCTCTTCCTGGGGCTGTCAGGTCCACAGAGGCAGCAGATCTCGTTGAGGCTGAACTCATCCTCAACTCCCCACCACCCAGAAAGGGGGTCTGACATGCAGGAGGTGCCAGTAAAATCTGCTGAATGGACAAACATGTTGATCAATGCATCGGATATTTCCTTAATGGCCATGCTCACTCTCAGGGGCAGAAGGGACGTTCTGGCTGTGGCTGTCTGCAGGACTGTTCCCCAGCACAGCTGAAAGCCCTCAGACCGCTGCAGGGGCAGGAGAAAGGCAGCGCTTTCACGGAGGGGGGCCTGGAGGGGGGCAGGGGTTCAGGTTACTCCCAGGCAGCATGGAGGGAAGAGGACTCCCAGCTTGTCCAGCTGATCTCTGTTATGAGGTGAGCTGATCAAGGGGTGGGGAGAGAGCTGCAAGTTCTGTCTCCCCATGACCAGGTGAGTGCCCAGCAAACAACTCAGCACCCGGCAGAGAGAGCCAGAAACAGCCCCGAAGAGCTCAGGAGAACCTACCTGCTGGCCTGAAAGGGGACACCTAAGTCCTGTGTCAGCAACTGGACAGAACCCCAGGCTGCTGGGACCCTTTCAGCACCAAGGTTGCTTCTGAGACACACATGAAGCTAATGCCTGGGACTGCTGGCCTCATCACACAGCGCAAAGAAAGCCCTGCCTTCAGGCTGTCATGGCCTCTGCACCTGCCCACAGCTGTGTGCACCCAGGCCCACTCCCTGCAATCCCCGGGGAGCAGCTGCTCCCACTAAAGGGCCTCAGCCCCGCCCTCACTACCTCTCCAAGCACTGGTGACAAATGGGACCTTCACAAACAATCGCCTACAAGCTGAGAACAATGGCACCAAACCTCCACGCTCAGAAGCTGCAGTGGCATATTTTCCTGAAATCAGCAACTGGATGCCCTTTTTTGTCCAATTCAGCAGATCCCAAAGTACCTGGAGATGTTGCCTTCAAACTCCTCCATCTGGGAGGCCCAGGCCTCCGTCCTGAGCCCTGCCTATGTCTCCTCAGTATGAAACTGCACAGCGCCTTGCTGAGGTCTGACGAAGGACGGCTTCAAAACCACAAGAAGCAGGCTCATGGCTGTCTCCCCACCCAGCCAGGGTCGTGTGTAGAAAAGCAGGAGAGTTCCATGCACACGCTTCCGGTGGAGGGGTCACCGCCGCCAGAGATACCCCTCTATTCCTCTACCCCAGGAGGGAAGGACTCTGTCATCCAGTTGGCACCCCCGGGACCACCCAGGTGAGGACGCAGAGCGCAGTGGACCGGCTGTCCAGGCGTCTCCCCGCTCATCGTGCGGCAGATCAGGAGCACATCCAGTGTGAGAGCACACGAGACGCGAGCCCTCTGTCCCTCCTCGCTGCCCGTGCAGATTGCTGCAGGAGGTGACGCTGCCGTAATGAGCAACGGCCTCCCAGACCTCTCTAACACATAGCCTGCCCCAGCAGCCCTGATGCCACACAGCCGGCACACAGACGGCCCTGAGTGCACCCAAGGACACCTACCCACGCTGGTGATCCTCTGGGAGCTGAGGTCGTGCAGCAGGGCCTCGATGGCCGGGTTGTGTCTGGAGTACAGCTCGTACCGGTTGATACCAATGTGGAACTTGAGCCAGTTGGGATAGGAGTCCACGGCCGCCTCCCCGGGGGAGAGGAATTCTGCACCTTCAGCACCCGCATGCGGCCTGCAGGGAGCAGCGAGGACGAACATCAGCATGGAAAGAACAGGCCCGTGAGTCGGATGACGGGGAGAGGGCACCGACGCCAGTGTTTTTAACTTTGGGTTCAAGCAAGTGCAGATGTGTTGAAGGCGCCTCTGCTTAAAGAGGGCCCTGCAACGTCTGCGCTTTCTTCTGTGGCCGCTCGGCTGCCAACTAATAACACGGTGAAAGGCCTGTAATTCTTACTCACCCTCTGGAGACACCACAGACAGCTCTAACTACAGCAAAACTAATTCCAGGACGTCAGCGCTGCCCTGCCATCCCCGCCACGTCTGTCCCAGGGTCACCGAAATGGCCCAACCATGACCTCAGCTGAGGGTGCGAGGGGCTGTGGCCCTCCCCTGGAGTAGAGGGGAGAACCTACCATTGACCACAGGCTGCATGAAACTCACAGACACGCCCAGTCTGTCAGGAACCTTCCCCAGCTCTCTGCTTTTGTTCCAACAACCAGGGGCACAATGATGCAAGAGGCTAAATTTGATTTTAATGAGAGCAGCCTTGGGTGGGGAGAGAGGAAGGAGGCAGCACTCTCTCCAGCCCAGGCTCCCATGGAGGACCCGCCGCCCACGCAGCCTGTCCTCACATCTCTGGGGTCAAGGGACCGTTCTGGAGGAGGGACAGACCCTCCGTCTGCCTGCTGGGCTGGAGGGAAACGCGGAACTTGTCCTAGCTCGAATTCACCTAAAGCTGAGGTGCTTTCTGCCGAAGCTCTGTCCTGCGGTGGACACGGGGGCGGGGTGGGGGGCTAGGATACACTTCCTGGCCACTCGCTGCTCTGGGCGGCCGTCTCTCCCTGCCGAGAGCCACAGCCCAGGCCAATGCTCTGGTTCTCAAATTTCCAAGCATTTCCTTGAACCTGACCAGCAGGCAAGGCTCAGAGGCTTCCAAACAGCCAGTGTGTTTAGACAGAAGACACTGGGCCTGGACATTTCAGGGAAGAAGGGACTTTCAACCAGATCTTTTGGAAGGCTGGTCTCCCCCTCTGCTGCTGGGGTAACCTTCGGCAGGTAGTTACTTATTCTGGCCTTGTCGTGGTTAATGTTCCACTGCTTCGGTGTAGCATCTGCTTGTTTTGATCTGTGTGGCGGAGGGAGGGGCCGGGGGGTGGGGAAAGGGCTTAGCCAGGACAGTTTAAAGAGAGGTTCCTGCCGTGGCTTCTCGCCCTTTATCGAGCCATCATCTCTTTGCAGCCAGCACACCCACCGCCCTTGCTGGCTGGGCCGCCTTGTTGCACCTCACGGCTGCCAGCAAGCCCCTCTGATAATTCTGCTCCAGCCACTGGGTTTAAAAGACTCAATAGGCACATCCAGACCTTCTCCAAGGTGCCCACCCAGAGCACCCTCGCCAAGTGTCTGAAAGCCCAGCGGCAGCCTGGCTCCTTCCCTCACCAACTCATTCATTCATTGCCTGACCCCATTTCCCAAGCTGGTGACCACGGCTGGTCAGGACTCGCTTCTAAAGGGCGCGGGGTCTGGCTTCCTCACCAGCAGCCACAGGGCACAGCTCCCGGACCAGCCGGCAGCCCCTCCCAAGGAGGAGGTTATTCTGGAGACAAAGGCAGCGCCCTGAGGTAGGCGGCTGCCTCCTCCCGCACCACACTCCCTGCCCGGCCTCTTCCATGGGGGGCGGCCCTCTGGGGCCCCTGAACCTCTCTACACCATGCCTTGGGCTCACGGCTCCCTTGGGGGTGGGCACCTGCCAGCCCCCACTCACCAGTCCGGGTTCTCCGCCGCTTTGGGGCTGAGCCTGGTGTCGCTGTTCACATTGAACAGGACGTCCTCCTCCGTGAGCGGCGGAACCGCCACCCGGTAAAGCGGGTGCTCGAACAGCCTGGCCAGGAGGGAGGCGTCTCCGCCGGGGCCGGGGGGCGACTCGGACCGACGCGGGCCGGGGTCTCGCAGCAGCGGCCGGTGCGCGGGGTCGTGGGGTCTTAGGGCGCCGGGATCCCGCCCCCGCAAGGCGCGCTCGGCCGGCTCGGCCGCGGGCGGCAGTTTCTCCAGCGAGTGGGACGAGAGGTTGGAGGAGGGGTCGGAGCTGAAGTCCTGCAGGATGCGGAGCGTGTGCTTGTTGGGCCAGCCCGCGTCGCCGGCGGCGGAGGAGGCGGCCGGGGGCTCCCCGGGGCGGCCCCGAACCTGGGCCCAGCCGGGCGCGGCCACCTCGGCGGCGGGCTGCGCGCACGAACAGCCGGGCTCCCCCGAGGGCCGCGCGCCGCGTCGCTCCAGCCTGGGCAGCAGGTCCAGGGCGATGTGCAGCGCGCAGGCCACCAGGAACACCATCAGGATGAGCACGCGGAACCGGCGCACCAGCATCATCTTCATGGCCGCGCGGGCCGGCCCGGGCCTGGAGCGCGTTCTGCCCGCGCGCCCCTCTAGCTGCAGCTGGGCACGAGCGCGGCGCCGCCTCGCGGGTCAAGGTCCATCGGTGCCGGGCGGCTACCAGCTCCGGGGCTGTCCCCGGGCCCGGGCCGCGTGCAGGGCGCCCGCCGCCGGAGCGCTGGGTCCCCGCGCCATCTCGGGCCCGTCCCCGCTCGGCCTCTCCGGAGCGGCCGCGCCCTCAGCCGGGGAGCCCAGGGGTCCTGGTCCGCGGAGCCGGGCGCGCGGGGGGCGGCTGGGGCCGCAGCAGGGGGAGGCTCGGCGCTCGCAGCCGCCGGCGCGGGGCTCATCGGGCGTGTGGGTCCATCCCGGCCGGGGCGCGACGGGCCTGGGCGGTGGCGGCGGCCGCAGGCGTCCCGATCCTCAGCGCGCTCCTCTCCAGGCGCCGGGCGGGCGGGCGGGGAAGGGGCGGCTCCTCCGGGCCGGGCTCTGCTCTCACGCCGCGCCCGGGAGACCGGGGCTGGGGGGAAGGGGGGGGCGAAGGGCGGAAGGGGTGGGCGCGGGGAGCGGCCGGCGGGGTCCCGGGCAGGTGCAGCGGCCGCCCCGAGCGCAGCTCCCGCCTGGCCGAGCCTCTCGGCGCCCCGCGTCCCGGGCGGGCAGATATCGAGCGCCGCGGAGCCGCCCCCCGCGTCAGCGCCCACAGATTGGCGGAGCCGCCGCCCCACGAGTCACGGCTGGGCCCGGGCCGGCTGCGCTCCCGCTCTCCTTCCTCCTCCCCTCGGCCGCGCCCCGCGACGCCTCTGAGCTCCGGGCCCGCTAAGGAGAGGGCTCCTCCTGCCCGCGGTTTGCAGAGGGAAGCGGCGGAGACCGGGAGGGCGCGCTCGGTTCTGGCCAGGCCAGCAGCTGCGGCCGAGTGGGGGGCTCCGGCCTGGCCGCTTCCTGGGACCCCCTCCCGCCCGGGGCCGCCGCCGCCAGCTGCAGCCTCTCGGCTCCTCCCCAGAGGAGCGCGGGGCCGGGGCCCAGGCCAAGTCCCTCCCCGGAGCCGCGGGGCGTCTGCGCCGCCGGATGAGCTCCCCGCCGGGCGGCGACCCCGTGCCCCACGCCCGTCTCGGCAAGGAGGAGGCGGAGGCGGCCCCGCGAGAGAGGCCCAAGGAGCGACTGGGCCTGGACCCAGGGGACGCCAGGGCAGCGGAGCTCCCGGCACCGGTCCCGTCCCCCCCCCCCCGCCCACCCGCGGGACGCGCCCGCCTTAACCCTCCAGGCGCCGGGCCCGCTGGGGGCGCTGAGAGGGGCTGGTGTGCCGGGGGCGCCTTCCTGCTTGGGGCCGACGGGGGTGTGTGAGTGCAGGCGTGTGCGTGTGTGTGCGCATGTGTGTGTGTGGATGTGCGTGTGCGTGTGTATGCCTGTGTGTGTTTGTGTGTGCGTCTGTGTGCATGTGTGTGTGCACATGCATGTGTGTTCACGTGAGTGCATCTCATCTGTCACCCACAACCAGGGGAGCGGTGCTTGTACAACCAGCTGGTGGCTTCTGCAACCAGCAGCTTCTGGCCGTGCAGCTCCCTGTAGGGAATATGAGTTAATCTGGATGTCAGCCTAAGATGTAGTCAGGGAGGTAAGTGTGTGGGAGGAGGCCACATCCCCTGTGCCTCAAGCCGGCTGCTTCCACAGTGCCCAGACTGCCTGGGCCAGCAGCCTCGCCAGCAAGCCCAGGCGGGTGGGCCGGGAGCAGGGCCTGGGCCCCCCCTCTTACTTTCACCGGCTGGCTGTGTTACCAGGGCCCTCTCCGCCCTCTCTGAGCCTCAGTTTCCTCTGATGTGAATTAAGGGCGTTGAGCCCATTGTTCCTGAGGAATCACTCATCTCTGAGCCTGGCCCATTGCCTGGCATTCCGTGGGCACCCACTAGATACTTATAAGGGGAGAAGTTGTTCCAGTCCGGCTGGCCAGTGGAATCCATGCGTCTTGGGCCATTTGAAGTGAGTGAAGGGCTGGGTGCGGCCCACCTGGAGCTGGACTGGAGGCTGTGTTGGGTGGGGCGGTGTGACCTGGAGGTGGGCTGCCCCCTCAGGAGACAGCTTCACCCCTGTGAGTGGACCTCATCCTTCCTTCCTTCCACTCACATGGACAGCACATCTGTGTGTAGACAGGGTCACTGAGAGAGGCCAAGGAGGGTGAGGAGGAAGATCCCGGGTGTGGGGGGAGTCCTGGGGGAGCAGACAGCAGGGACAGAAGCCTGTGGCAGGAAGGAAGGTCTTGGCCTGTGTTCTCCCAGCAAGGGTCCCCTTGGACTTGGAGTTCTATAGGCTCCTGGCCCCCCCATCTCTCCCGTGGTCTACAGGACCTCGACGCAGAGCTGTGGCTAGTGTCTTGGGGCAGACATGGGGCTGAGCAGACCCCATGGAACACTATTATCCGGTGTGGGGGGCCTCATGGAGGTTCCCTGGGCACTTACTTTCACTTGCCTCCTGCCCCCAACTCCTCTCCCCTCCCATCCTCACCCCCAGAGTGGTTTTTGGGAGCCCGGCAGCTATCTGGACCCGTGTGCACCCCTGGACGCCTCCCTCCCTCGCAGAGGGTCCTGGTTCATCTCGTCTGTTGCCTCTTAGAACAGTGGCCTCTACCTCGCCAGGTCCTTCAGAAGCGCCCCCCTCCCTGCCCCGCCACTGTTTTCCCAACAGCACCCGCCGTGGTCTGAGGACACTTTCTTCTGCTCCTGTTTATTGTTTATCTCCCCCAAGCACAAGCAGTCGAGTTAAGACAGGAGCCTCGTTCAAAGTTCCGCCCGGGGCCAGGCACAGCGCAGGCTCTCAGAGGAGGGCCCAGGAGTCCACAGGCTGCGGCGGCGCGAGACAAAAGTCGGAAGACAGGACCCCGCTGAGGAGTGAGGAGACAGCGGCCAACCCTCCGCCAGACCCTTCCGCCTGGTGCCTTTACTGGGCTCTGAGGAGGAATTTGGTGGTTCAGTCGGCCCATCCGTGGACACCATAAAAACAAAGAGAAAACAGACACACACAGATGCACACATAGATACACACAGATACACACAGACACGGATATATAGACACACACAGATACACACACGTGGACACAGACACACACATAGACACAGATATATAGACACACACAGATACACACACGTGGACACAAACACACACAGACATACCCATAGTTACGGATATATGCATGGATACACAATACACAGACACACAGATGATACATGCATAGACAGATATATGGACACACACACACGGACACACAGATACACACATAGACACATAGACAGACACAGATACAGACACAGGCACATGTAGACACACATGGACATACAATACTCAGATGAACACAGAGATAATATACACATAGACACAGATCTATAGATACACAAAGACATACACACAGATATACATAGATGCACACATAGACACAGATACACATGTCATCACACATGGACACACACAGACACACACCAATACACACATAGACATACGAAGACACAGGTACACAGACACGTATACACACAGACACGCATATATACATACAGACGCAGATATACACACAGACACAGACATACACACACACACAGACACAGATATACACAGATACATGGACAGATACACATTCACATACACACATAGATACACAGAAACACACAGACACACAGACACATAGAGACACACACACAGCCACACAGGCCCTGAGCCTCCCTGGGCCCTCCCTTGTGCAGAGGCGGAGGGGCTGGCTGTCGGGGAGGGCACCTGGAGAGGACACACAGCCCCATCAGAGACCAGGGAGTGGCTCTGGGAGCTCTTTTCGTCCAAAGGGGCTGGAGCTCCAGTTAGCCAAGGTGAGCGCCAGGTGGTGACAGGAATGACATAGGAAAATAAGACGGCCCGGGCAGGGAGGGCTGCCTGCTCTGGGTGTGAGGGGATTGCTGTCTTAGACCACGTGGCCCAGGAAGGCCTCCAGGCATGGCTTTGCACAGAAGCTGGTACCTGAGGGCTCAGCCCCGTGGAGGCCTGCGGGGTGGAAATGCCAAGGCTGGGGCAGGGGCATGTCTGACCCTCTGCGGGGAGAGAAGGCCTGTGAGGTGGGCATTGTGTGAGGGGCCAAGTGGCCTCTGTAAGGTCTGCAGGTGGGGCCAGGCTGTGGGCTGCGTCCTGAGTGAGGGGGCCGTGGGAAGGCTGGGGACAGAGGGACGACGCTGGGTCTTGGGTCGGGAGAGGCTCACCTAGGGGCCGGGTGGATGGGTCTAAGGAGGGCTAAGGGCGGGGCAGGGAGAGCAGCTGTGTGGTGAGGACGAAGGGAGGTCGGCCAGAGCCCCCGGGGAAGGGCTGTTGTCATGTGGATGAGCTGGGAATTAGGAAAGCTTGTGGATTGCGAGGCCTCAGTATGCAAAGCCCTGGGACAGACGGGCCCCCCAGGAATGAGGGGGGCAGACGGGCTCCCCAGGAATGAGGGGGGCAGACGGGCTCCCCAGGAATGAGGGGGACAGATGGGATCCCCAGGAATGAGGGGGGACAGATGGGTCCCCCAGGAATGGGGGGGGCAGACAGGCTCCCCAGGAATGAGGGGGGCAGACGGGCTCCCCAGGAATGAGGGGGGCAGACGGGCTTCCCAGGAATGAGGGGGACAGATGGGCTCCCCAGGATAAGGGGGGACAGAAGACCCCAGGCCTGAGGACCAGGCCTGCCCCCTGGCACCACCAGACACCAGGAGGGCACTGCTGCTCTTAATTGAAAGTCTTGGTGCAGGTGAGGGCGTGGAGGATTCCTGGGGGAAGCTTCGTGCTGCAAGGTGGAAAAGACAGATAACAAGAGAAAAACAGAAGCTTAATAGCATGTATACCTTGGTCTGCAAGGGACGGACTCGGGACAGGCTATGTCGCAAAGGCGTGGCTTGGAGCTCAGCCTTAAAGACCATGTTCGACGGAAACAAAGAGAAAGAGTGTGTGGGGAGGGGCCCAAGAAATTACCCCAAACTGGGGTCAGGCCTTCTCCATGGATGAGCGTCTCCGGTGACTTACAGGCGGCCTTCTGGCCCAGAGAGGGGGCACCCTGGTGAGCGCAGATGCCTGTACGGATGTGACTTTCTCTCATAGAACAGCAGCTTCCACTCTTGTTTTCAGAATTTCTCCTGTGGTTGCAGTTTCTCAAAATAAGCAGCTCAAAATAATGCTTATGCCAAAGAGGCATATTTTGGGGTGGCATATTCTGGTCTGCTCTACGTGGAAGCGGACAGAAAAATGGGGCAGAGGCCAGGGAGGGGAGCGGGACCGACTTCCAGTTCCCAGACCCGAGCAAGGGAACCTGAGGCCGAGCTCTGGAGCTTGGGGTCTGGAAGGGGTTCTCTGAGGACACTCTGGGAGTGGGGGAACAGCTGCCTCCTCAGGTTTCCCCCAAGGGATCCTGCCTGGGGAGACCTGGACTGGGCAAGGCTTGGCAGCTGCCCTGCCAGGAGGAGGGAGACGGCTGCAGTGGGGGGGTGCAGGGTCGCTGGGGTCCCACCCGGGGGTGCTGGGACCGGCCAGAGGACACTGCGATTTCCCAATGGGCCAGGAAGGAAGGAGGCGCTTTCCAGGCAGAGCATGACCCCGCACAGGAGGCAGAGACAGAGTCTCTGAGTGTCCCCGTCAGGTCCCTGGGACTGTGGCAGGGGAAGAAGCCGCAGTACCTCCTGCCCTTTAGGACAGGAGAGGTTGTCGTCCCAGCGTTGCCCAGCAGCTGGTTGGAGCCCAGGGCTCCTCAGATGAGCCAGCGCCTGAGCCCTGAGCTGCCAGCTGGCCTGGCTGGAGCCGCCACTGATCTTCCCAGGAGAAAGAGGCCGCCGTGCGTAAGTAGCGAGGTATAAGAGGACGTGTAGAGCCGTGTCGCTCGCGCAAGAAGGGGAAAGAAGGAAGCCTGTCTGCATGGCTGCGCAGGGGATATTGGAACAGAACTGAAGGAACTCATGCAACGCTTCTCTGTGAAGGGGGCACCGCGATGTATGGACAAGGGTGGGAAAGGGATGCTGGGCCATAAAGTTTGGGGTGCGTGATGGTGTGGAGGAGAAAGCCCTCCTGGGAGCTGTGGCCAGGGAGTGTGCAGTCCACGAGCAGATGGAGCTTTATGTGCCTCCCACCTCCTCCCAGGGGCCCCCCACGACTCGCTGAGGCCCCATCAGCAACAGGATGACGGGTTTTCTTTCCCACACAGATCGGGGACGTCCCAGCCTCCTGAGGTGGGGCAGAGGCGGGCACCGCAGCCCAAGAGCTGGCTTTCCCCCTGCACCTCCACCCATGCGTTGGCCTGGAGTGGCCCAGCGGAGGGTCCAGGTGGGGGTGCTGGAGGGGCCCACCCAGCTCAGGCCTGGCACCTGCACCTTTCTGGATCCCACGATGTTTTGCTGAGGGTTACTCATCCAAGACCTGCCCGGAGGCTCCGAGCTGTTTACCACAGGCCAGCTCTGGCCGTAGCCTATTCTGGGAGCCTGGGGGTGCTGGGAGGAGGCTGGGGCTCTGGGTGGCAGGAGGAGGAGAGCCGTCTTGTCCTTACTGAGCGTCCAGCGGGCGCCAGATGCTGCGCCGCGTGCAATTCTAATCCTGGCCGGCAAAGCCAGAACGGGACAATATTCCTTCCTCCCCAGGCCTCCCGCTTGGCTGTGGGTGCTGACGGGCAATGGGCCTGGCTATCGGGGCTCACAGGGGAGCCGGGAGAGCCGCTAGCAGGAGAAAATGTGAGCTCTGCATCTGCTGGGCTGGGTTCGGGGGACGCGGGGTGGCTGGGGAGGGTCGTGCTCGTCCCTCCGGCTGCTGTCGCTGGCCCGCCGGCCAGTCCGCCCCAACGCTGGACTCCTGGGCTATCCGTTCCCCACCCACCGTCTGAGGGTCTTTGAAAATAGAACTCATTCGTTTTCATTAAAAGCAACCGATCAAGAAGCCGAAAACACAAGAATAAAACAATGTAAAAGCTTGACTTTATTTTGTATCCGTCAAACACAGGACTCACAGTCCGTTACACATGGAGCATTCGCAACACTGATCATGTTCTGATGGTCACACAATGTCGGGAAATTCCAAAAGGCAGATAATCTAGAGTCTGTTCACGGCATCCACACACACACACCGGTGCACAGGCACACGAGCACACAGTCTACAGATTGTTCGTAGACACAGTGTGGTATAATGAACAAAAGCTGGCTTTAAAAATAGTTCTACCTGGGCCCGGTGCGGTGGCTCACGCCTGTAATCCCAGCGCTTTGGGAGGCCGAGGCGGGTGGATCACCAGAGGTCAGGAGTTCGAGACCAGCCTGACCAACATGGAGAAATCCCGTCTCTACTAAAAATACAAAAATTAGCCGGGTATGGTGGCGCATGCCTGTAATCCCAGCTACTCGGGAGGCAGAGGTGGGAGAATCGCTTGAACCTGGTAGGTGGAGGTTGCAGTGAGCCAAGATCACGCCACTGCACTCCAGCCTGGGCAACAAGAGAGAAACTCTGTCTCAAAAAAAACAAAAATTAGTTAGAAGGAAGTGGGTCAGATGTGGCCCCTACGGCCTCTCAAACATAGAATTCTTAGTTCTCTACCAAGAAACTACTTAAAGCAATGACCAGACTTCCAGGCCTACATATTAGTTATATGAAAGAGTCCAAAAAAAGTCCAGGGGCTGGGCTCACAGGGGCTCACACCTGTCATCCCAGCACTTTCAGAGGCCTAGGTGGGTGGACTGATTGAGCTAGGAGTTCGAGAGCAGCTGAGGAAACAGAGGGAGACCCCATCTCTACAAAAAATAAAAACATGAGCCGGGCGTGGTGGTGCGTGCCTGTAGTCCCAGCTTCTCAGGGGGCTGAGGTGGGAGGATCTCCTGAGCCCAGGAAACCGAGGCTGCAGTGAGCGGTGATCACACCACCGCAGCCCGGCCCGAGCAACAGCTGGACCCTGTCTCAATAAAAACCCAAAAATCAAAACAGCCAGACCTCTGCTTTCTGACCCTCGTGGGCCCTGTGAGGCCGCAGCCTGAGGGAGAAGATGCCCAGGGCTGGGACAGCCGCACCAAGTTCCTGCCGGAGTCGGGGAGGCCAATCCTGCCGGGGGCCCCGGAGAAGGCAGAGCAGAGGGCACAGCACCCAGGGATTCAGCCGGCCCCGCGTCCTGGGGATGCTACCTGACGGGGTGCTCTGTGCCCTAAGGGGCCCTTGAAGGCAAGGGGATGGGCTGCAGGCCACCGAGCCCCAAAGCCACATCCCCAGACCAGACAGCCCGAGGAACTGGAGGAGGAGGGAGGAGCTGGCCCCACAGCAGACGGCACTTGGCGTGGCCGCAAGCTGGGCCGGCCTTAGCACTTTGCACGCAGAGTCTCAGTGAGTCTTTGCTACAAAGCACACGTTGCTATTATTGTGGTCACTATTTTTACAGAGAAACTTGACCTCTTCGCCAGCCTCACCCATTCAGCCCTATGCTGGGTTTAAGCCATCTTGGAATTCTGGACACTTAGGAACAAGAAGCCCACATCTGCTTCCCAGGGTCCTGCCCTTCCCTGGGGGTCCCCGTGCTGGAGGCAGCAGTTGGGGTGTGGGAAGGAAAGGCCAGCGCTGTGGGAGGGGCTGGGCTGAGGGTGGGCTTGGAGCCAGCACATGGGGGCTAGGTCCGGCTTGTCCCTCACCAGCCAGACGGCACTGGGCATGTCAGGGAATCTCTCAGAGCTCAGTTTCCTGCTGTGGGAGGGAGCTGCTGGCTCTCACCTTGTTGTGAGGACTAAACTAGCTGCCATCTGTGGCCTGCTAGTCATGGGGCTCTGGTCCTCTTGTCACTGGATCTTGGCCTTGACCTCCCCTTCTCTCTCGTGAAGCTGTCGGCTGCGTGGAGACACAGCCACTTCAGTCCTCTCATAAGCCTATGCCCAGCATCTGCCAGGGGCCAGGTCCTGGGCTAGTAACCTGGCACTGGGAGCCCAGGCTCCGCTCTTGTCCAGGGGAAGCTGCAGCCTTGGGAAAAGCAGGTGGGAGACGCAGATTCTAAGTACCTGACCGAGGGACGCCTCGAGGACGTGAGGGAGGCCGGGCACCATCCGTGGAGGGGCCCTGTGAGCGGGCCCAGCAGATAGACAGGGAGCACCTCCATGGAGGAGACAGAGAACCCCTGTGAGGGCCCCGTGGCTTCTGCAGCTCCCGGTGCTGGCTGTGGGTGGTTTGCCGGTCGGCCTGCCTGTAGTTCTCAGTGGCCGCTCGGAAACACGTCCTTTCTTATGAAGACGCAGACGTCACAGCCGAGTTGAAAGGAATCTGAAGAGGATTTGGGTGCTCCTCTGTCACAGCCTAGATCATCGCGAGGCCACGGCCCCCCAGGACAGAGGGGCCCGGGGAGGGTGGGGACAGGAATTGAAGACATGATCAATTAAATCGTCTCCTTCCTCCAATAGGTAGAGTATGATCCTGTGTCCATCAACACTTCCTAACGTGCATGTAGAAGCTAAAATTGTTAAGATTTGCGAAATACTTTTACCTCGAAGTTGGCAGTGACATCATTCTGTTTTTTCCTGGGTGCGGAGGAGTAATTTCAGAAGGAGACATTTTGTAAAATTAAAAGGTATTCACCAAATATTTCATGCATGAGTGTAATCTACAGGTTTGGTGATTAGGGATGAAAACGCATACATTAGACAAAAAAGATTGGATATTTAGAAGCAAATTTGAGATTCAAGTGAGGATAAATTACAGGGAACCTCTTATCAGAGCCCGTACATGCCTGGGTCTGGAGTGAAAGCCTCGGGCTACGGCCTCAGGTGTGGAGGAGGTGGGGTTCTCTCTCCTATTCAGCCTCCCCTTCCTCCTGGGGAAGCTGCTGTGCTGTCGCTGGGGCTGGGCCATTGACTCCCTGTACCCCACCAACCCCACCACCAAAGGGGTCAGTTCAGGCTCCAGCTCCCCCTCCCTCCCCAGCTGTCGGTGCGAGCCCAGCTGTGCCTGCCCTTGGTCCCCACAGGCTCTGTCCTCCGAACACCAGGCTCTGTGTGGGCCCTGGGAGTCCTGGCCCGAGGGGTCTCCCCCTGGGGAGCGCTTGGGAGGGAAAATCCTGCTCTCAGGGTCTCTGAGTCCAACCAAGACAAAACCTGCTCTTCTCAACAGAGGCATGAGCTCCTCCTTCCTGGCAACCTGGGGGATCACAAAGACAGACGGCACCTCCCCAGGCACCTGCGCCTGTGTCCGACGGCAAAGCCATTGTCAAGCGAACCTGATGCTGTCACTGGTCACCCGGAGCCCATCAGCATGTTGACCCGGGGCCCATCAGCATGTTGAAGGCACTTTCTTGCTGTTACAGGGGAGGAACTGCTAAAGAGGCCACCAGACACAGAACACAGTGATAGTTTTAGGTGTAAAATTATTGCACACAGATAAATTCTGGAAACAGCTGCCTAGAAAGTTCTTTATATTGGAAAGTGTGCTTTGAGGTCATTATGCCGGATTTTATGGCCATTTCTTGGCTGAGCCCCGGGATGGCTTATGTCTTTGCAGAAAGGCATCATCACATTTTATGAATGACAGATGGCTTTTACCACACCTTTGCATGATCGCTTATGGTAATAGGACTGCGGTGCCCTGAGACGTGGGGATCTGCGTGAGTGCCCCCGGCAAAGTCTGCTCTTCCGGCCTCGAATCTGGATCCCAGGTGAGGCCTGAGGATTTTATTTCTTCCTCTGATCTCCCTGCCGGCGGGGCCACTGTGGCAGGACAATTCGGGGCCCCGCCCCCCAGATGTGCAGGTGCAGGCCAGTCTCGGGGGGATCGGCGGCTCCCGGGGGGCTGTGTCGGGGGGATCGGCGGCTCCCGGGGGGCTGTGGGATGGTTCCTCTGTCCCAGGGCTCCCGCACGGG
This sequence comes from Homo sapiens, assembly GCF_000001405.40. Taxonomy (NCBI): domain Eukaryota; kingdom Metazoa; phylum Chordata; class Mammalia; order Primates; family Hominidae; genus Homo; species Homo sapiens. The sequence goes on along the minus strand of NT_187653.1, from coordinate 174,683 downwards.
AGGGCTTTGCACGTCCACCCCTCCTTTCCTTGGCTAAAGCCTGTTCTTACCAGAAGGTGAAATGAAGACGATTCCTTTTGTTCGGTCCCCTCCACTCCTAAACTCTGTCTAGAGCAGGGGTGGGCTCCCTCCTTGTCTGTGCCGCCCACTCGCCTCCTCGCCTCCTGTCGCCTCCACTCCTGACCCCCATCCAGAGTGTGGGATGCTGGGTTGCCGGTGACCATGGGGAGCCGTAAGGTGAGGGAACCCAGCTGGAGACCAGGGCCCACACCAAATCGTGAGCCTGTTTTTGAAGCTACTGAATGGGTGGAACTTGACTGTTCAGGGGACCCTGGAGGACTCACTCCTTTCCACCTGTGTCTCTGCTGGGTCTCACCTGGCGCCCCTGGCGATACCTGGCTCTGCAGTGGAGCAGTCACCACCGCACCCTCCCCGTAGCTCCATCCCCACGCGTCCAGGATAGCGTGGCCGCTGGTCAGCTGCCGACAGCACACATAAGAAGTCATGGATGGGTCCGAGCGGCTTCCAGGACTCAGCACCCAAAGCAGCCCCGTCCTGACGGTAACAAGCCTGCCCCATGGGGCGAGGCCCTCTCCCCTCTTCCTCAGATTCACCCAACCCACTTCTGTCTGTCAAGAGCAGGCTTGAGGAACAGTCAAGCTTGAGTTCTCTTGGCCTTTCCTGGACATCTGTCCTGAGGCTGCTCTCATTTAAGCCTCACGGAGGAAACCCAAGTTTCTGCAGCAGGAGAGGGGCGTGACCCCAGGGACAGCCGGAGAAGACGGTGTAGAACCAGCTGTCACGGAGCCTGATGTCCGGCCTGGAGCATCAGCCCATCACCTTCAGAGTGGACCCGAGGGCCTCACCTGCCACCTGGGGGACAGGTGAGAGGCGGCCAAGGACCCCAGACGATGAGGGGCAGAGTGTCTGCACTTGTCACCAAAGGCTTCCAGGGAAAAGCGGGGATGTGTGGACAGGAAGGGGCCGGCGGGTGGGATCAGGGCACTGGGCGAGCCAGCTTCCAGTTATGGGGGCTGCGGGCAGGGGAAACTCGAGCCCCTTGCGGCTCCAGCCTTGCCAGGGAGCCCGAGAGCTGGGCTGGCACGCCGCTCTGTGAAGGGCTGGACGGTGTGCTTCAGGCCTCGAGGTCACTCTGCCTCTGGTGCAAACGCTCACCTCTGCCGCTGTGGCCCAGAGCAGCCTTCGACCCACGTGATGAGTGTGTGTGGCTGTGTCCCCACATCTCCTTGTTTATGGATGCTAAAATTTGAATTTCCTATAAGTTTCACATGTCACAAAATAGTCTCTTGATTTTCCAACTATTTAAAGATATAAACATCATTTTTAGCCCTCTGTTGGACAAAAACAGAGGCTGACTTGGGCCCTAGAGCTGTAACTTCTACCTCTGCCTTAGATGACTCTTTTTAAAGCATTCTAGCTGGGCCTGGTGGTTCCCACCTGTGGTCCCAGCTACTCAGGAGGCTGAGGCACGAGGACCTCTGGGTCTGAGAGTTCGAGGCTGTAGTCAGCCGTGACTGCACCCAGCCTGGGTGACAGAGCGAGACCCTCTCTCAGTAACTAAATAAATAAAAGACAAAAAGAGGTAATTTTGTCTGGATATTGTAAATATAGGCTATTTCATGAAGTTTCAATTTATTCACACTTTTTAAAGCGCACTGTGTTGCAGCAGGACTCATACCTGCTGTGTAGCTCAGAGTTTGTGAGTTTCCTCCTGGACTTGGAGACAGCTCACGTCAGTCCAGCCCCGGCCAGGCGATGGACAAGGCCGGCTCTCCTAGGTGGCCCTAATATCCGACTCTCTAGCTCACTCCACTCAAAGCACCCGGGACGGCCCCTCTTGTGGCGGGGGAGCCCCCAGGGAGGCTGAGGCCGAGGGGGCGGGTGCCAGCTGTTGCCCAGCTCCATGTGTGAGAGGCGTGGATTCTCCAGGTCAGGTCCGCTCCAACAGACCATTCCACAAGGAGCTGGTGTGACCTCCGAAGCAGGGTCCTGGCAGGAGGGGTGTACACGCAGGGCTGGCCCTCCCTGGGGTCCCCCTGACGTGGGCGCTCCTGGGTCTGGGAATGTGGGTTTGCTTCCCCCAAGGGATCTGTTCTGTCTCCTCCCCTGCCTCCCTCCCTCCTCAGGGTGGGCTTCAGGCAGCAATCAGCTGCCCAGGGCCTGCCTGACCTCCACCCCCTGCACCAGGGACCTGGGGCTCCGGGGCCCACTAGGCACAGAGGCTCTCCAGCCGGGCCGTGGCCTGCCCCCTCCTCCAGTGTGGACCCTCCGGACAGCTCATCCCCCCGCAGGCCCCTCCATTTGGAGGCCCAGGCTGCTGTCTGCAGGGGCAATGGTCTGTGATGCCAGTTTTAAAGTACAGGATTACAGAAATCCTAAAATGTGGATTATTTCTGACCATCAGAAACCACACAAGCTACATTTGCTGAAATCCTATTGCTCTCAAGGGCTGTGGAAGAGACATAACCCGAACCTCAACCCTAACCTGGGAAGACCCAACTGCGACCCATACAGGGCTCTGGGGACCCGAGGCCTTGGTTCGTGCCGGCCACTCGCCTAGTGCTCCCTCCAACCACCCTTCCTGGAAAACTCTTACCCACCCTTCAGGAGCCTCGTCAGATATCACCACGCCTGTGAGCCCTCCTTGATGGGTTTGCTTCTCCTCCTCCCGGGCGGCCCCACGGCAGCTTGGCCATCTCACACCTCATCCTGGGCCAGAGGCCTTGAGAGCTGGGACTGCCTCACCCTCCCCTGTTGTCCCAGCCCACAGCCGGCGTTGCAGAGGGCCCGGCTCTCCCTCCCACTGTTCCCCGCTGCCTCTGGACCGTGTTCTCCCTGTCTCCTGCCCTGTCTCTCCCTCCGCTCCTCGAGGCACACATCAGCTCAGCCCCGCCTAAGCTCCTTCCCAAGGACAGCTTTGGGACCTCTTGTCCCAACCAAATAAACCCTGAGAGCAGCCAGCTACCACTTCCTGCCGCTGCGGCTTCATCTGGGACAGAAGAGTCCACGGAAGCAGCTTCTCTTTTCTTGGACTCCGGCAAAGGGGTCACTTGAGGCTGCAGCTGGAGCCGGTGTCCCCGAGGAGTCGCCGGGGAAGGTGCTTCCCAGCAGATCTTGGGATCACTGTCAGGAGCTTGAGAGGAGCCAACAGCGGCTAAAACAGCGATTTCTACAAACGTCACAATTCAGCAACAGGCCTGCTTCTGCCAACACTCGGGCGGCCGCTGCTGTTCCTGCCTGGGTCCGTTTTCCTTTAGACGCATCGTCCGGTCCGCACGAATCTAACAACCCTGACGGTTGCAATCTGCCGTGGGAGATGGAGCTTCTTACCTGTAAAATATTAGTGCTTAAAACCACAGCTGTGGGACTGGTGTGTAATTCCAGCTGCCGCTGCCCACCTGTCATCACGGAATTCGGAGATCACGTCTTTCCCTCCGCATCTGGACTCTACCTTTCGGCTGCCTCTGGTCTGGGGGCCCCTCACGAGGGATCCAGACACAGTGGGCAGAGGCGACGTCAGAGCGGCTGCCCCCGCAAGACACCTCCTGGAGGCCTGAAGCCTCGCGGTTCTTAGACGGGCACACGGGGACCTGGGAGTGAGCGTTTGCTGAGCGCCTGCTGTGGGCCTGTGCCCGGCCTCTACTCACTGTCGCACGGCAGCAAGACTCCCCGCAGGCGGGTGATCGCGTCCCACCTAAGGCGAGGAAACAGGCTGGAGGACACGAATCGGGGGTGCGATGCGGCCCCAGAGCCCGCCACCTCTTGCAGCATGGAGGGGCCTGCATGCAGAGACCACACCGTGGCGGAGGCCGCATCTGGGGCCGTGAGGGGACAAGCCCAGCTGCACCATCCTCCTGTACTTCCTCCTTTTGAGTCTGGCCTTCGGGAGGGAGGACAGTGGATACCAGGCCTCAGCATCTTCTCGGTTAAACCGAGGAGAGACCACGTCGGGGTTTCTGCCCGTTTCTACAATCCGAGCAGGACGCTGCCTTCCCGACCTCACACTGAAGTGCACAGTCCCCTCCTCACCACTGTGGCTTCAGGGACGTGGTCGGCATTCCCTCTGTGTGGCCTGCTCGTCCTGGCTCCGCGTGAGGGTTCCATCCCTGAGCCCGGTACTGCAGGACGCCCCAAGCAGCGGAGGGAAAGGCCAGTGGTCCTGGCCCACGGGGAGCCTGGGGTCTCTGCCTTTGCGAGCTCTGGGGCTGGAAGCCTTGGTTTCCTCCTCCATGCACAGGAGCACACAGGGAGCCTGGGGTCTCTGCCTTTGCGAGCTCTGGGGCTGGAAGCCTTGGTTTCCTCCTCCATGCACAGGAGCACACAGGGAGCCTGGGGTCTCTGCCTTTGCGAGCTCCGGGGCTGGAAGCCTTGGTTTCCTCCTCCATGCACAGGAGCACACAGGGAGCCTGGGGTCTCTGCGTTTGCGAGCTCCGGGGCTGGAAGCCTTGGTTTCCTCCTCCATGCACAGGAGCACAGAGGGAGCCTGGGGTCTCTGCGTTTGTGAGCTCCGGGGCTGGAAGCCTTGGTTTCCTCCTCCATGCACAGGAGCACACAGGGAGCCTGGGGTCTCTGCCTTTGCGAGCTCCGGGGCTGGAAGCCTTGGTTTCCTCCTCCATGCACAGGAGCACACAGGGAGCCTGGGGTCTCTGCCTTTGCGAGCTCCGGGGCTGGAAGCCTTGGTTTCCTCCTCCATGCACAGGAGCACACAGGGAGCCTGGGGTCTCTGCCTTTGCGAGCTCTGGGGCTGGAAGCCTTGGTTTCCTCCTCCATGCACAGGAGGAGATGCACATGGTGCAAGACAGGTAACCAGGCCTGCGAAGAGTGGCTGCCTCTAAGGTGCTCAGTATCGGGGACCGGCTGAGGGAGGGACGTGGTCGGTGTAGCAGGGCAGGAGCCAAGACGCCTTGTGCAGGAGGAGTTCCCTGGGAAGTGGAGAGAAGGTTTAGAAAGTGAGGAAAAGGCCAGAGGCAGCAGGTTGAGTGTGTCCAGTAACCACAGGGCCTTGGGCAGGACACCCCGTGATGTCAGCCAGGCCTCGGCGGTGCCCTGGGGAGGGAAGGAGCTCGGGGAGGTGGTCACAGACCTCCGCTGAAGGGGGAGGGCTCTGCTCACCACGAGCTCACACACACGCGCATATGGGTCGGCCTGTCCGGCTTATGGAGAACAGCCAAGCCGGGGGCAGCAGTTCCCACCCCTCAGATCACCTGATCCGGCCCAAGGATGAGGCACTGGTTTCCTACCACAGGCACCAGTGGATTTCTTTTCCCAACAGAGCTTGGATGTGGCCAACCAACTGCTCAGCCCACACGCAAGGCTGCTGTTGCGGATGGACCAGATCTGGGGTGATAGCTGGAGCCAACCTACGCGTCAGCTGCACCCCTGAGCCCACGCCCCACCCACCCTGAACAGCTGAAGTCAGTTTTCAAAGCAGGATTCACTGCCTCCCACCTCCCTGCACCTCAGGGAACTGTTTCAGACCCTGGTGGGACCTACCCCGTGGGCCACAGCCTCACACCCGTCCTGGGGCTGGGAGCTGGCAGCATCTCCGGGACACCAAGGAGCCCCCTGACGTGGATGTGGATGAGCTTCAGCTGAATGAGGCGTCCTCCCAGGGCCGGCCAGGTCACCCAACTGACTAAAGTGTGGGGCGGTGGCCGACTTCGTGGTGCTGGCTGTGCTGCTGAGTTGCTGTGGAACCCTTTAACCTTTCTGTGCTACTGTTTTCAATATTTTGAGTGACCCGAACGATTATGCAATGTAAGGTATCATTATTGTAAGAAATTGCATCATTATTGCCCTCCTCCAGGCTGAGAGAGGAAACCTGAAGAAGGCCAGATAGGCTGTTCCCAGTCTTGCCCACCTGAGGGGCAGGACTTACTCACCAGCCTGGGCCTTTCAAGACCTATCAGCCAGCAGCAACGATGGAGAGCCCAAAGGCAGGGTGCAGGGCAGGGAGGTGTGCAGTTGTGTGTCTGGGCAAGCGTGCATGCACAGGTGTATACATACCTGTATCCGTGTGTGGCCATATACACGTACATATATAGACACACCAAACACACAAACGTGCATACATGCCTGTACATATATGTGCCCATATACATATGCATGCACACACTTGCCAATCGCACATGTGTATGCACGTGCACACACACACGTACATGTAAGCAAATGTGCACATGCATGTACCTCACATGCACACACGTGTTTGTGTGTGTACACATACACTGTATTCATATGTGTTCATGTAAACACAGGTGTGTGCATGCCTGTGCACACGCACACACACACAGCCACACACACACAGCCACACACTCCCTTCTTCAGCAGGAACCATGATGCAGATCTTCTGCATACCCATAAGCTAAGCGGGCAGCGCCGGCAGAATCAGATGCCGCAGGCAGCGCCGGGGACTGGTGCAGAGCCTGCCATGGGAATAACATGGAAGAGACAAAATCTAAACACACCCCCATCTCCAAAGCACCCCACACACTCACAGAGGCAGGGTCTTCCTGCTGGCTCCGCTGTTCGGACTGGGGCTGACACCAGGCTCCCCGGGCTCCCAGCCTCACCCACGTGTCCTTCTTCATGACTGTAGCTTGCAACAAAGTCCTTTAGTCTGTTTCTTCACGATTCTCTCCCTGAAACACGGAACTCAAGAAGAAAACGCAGTTTTCGCACCTGAAGACAGAAGTATGACCGCAAGCCTTGAGCTGCATCTCGCATTAAAAAATCAAGGCCCAGATGCAAGGAGACTTCAGCTCAGGGGATGGGGGTAGTTGGCAGCTTCCTCCCACGTGCCGCAGGCGGTGGCCCTCAGCCACGCTGAAGACCCCTGCCCCTCTCTATGGTCCTGGGGGCTGGGAATGCCTCTTGGCGGAGAGGGGCTACAGCAGGAAGCAGCGGTGGTGGTGCATGTACGGGAAAAATGAGAGATGCCGAGACTTTTGCCAATGCAAACCTCTCTGCATCCTCAAGGCCTGTTCCTCCCAGAGCTGGGACTCGTGGCCACCAAGCGCTGGGGTCCTGTTCACCCTGTCCTGGCCCCGCCCTGCCGTACCTTTCTTGCTGACACTAATGGCCTCCCAGGGGTGCTTCTTGGCCCCTCTGCAGGGGAAGGACAGCTCAGGGGAGCGGCGAGGTGGGGTCGTGCCGGGCACACCCAGACGTCTGATCGCCACGCTGGCTCCGGCCAGCACAGGCGGCATGAGGCCCACAGAGTGCCTGGAAGAAGCCCCACACAGCATTGCCAGGTGGAAAATGCAGGGCCCAGTGCCCAAAAAAGACCAAGCAAAGTTATTAGGCCTCAAGCACCTTTCCAGCTTTCCTCTTAAAAAAAAAAAAAGGCAGAAACTTTCTCTCTAGGCCAAGGATAAATTAGCTAAGGACAAATGCAGCCCAATGATCATTTATCATCACAAGCCTGGAGAGGATCCTGGGAGTCCTGTCCTGGCCTCAGGACTCAAGGGCAGAAGCTGCTGCTTTCCTTCATTATTTCTATTTTTAACAACTGCGTTCAGGCTTCCTGCAAAAATAGCAAGAGGTGAGGCCATTTCAAGCACTAACATGCTCCCCTTTTGTCAGAAAACCCCAGGATGCAGGAAAAAGCGGCCAGGACTTCAGCAGTGTGGCACCAGCGGAGCTGAAATGGTCCTTCGCTATGCCCTGATCCCTCGCCCAGCAGTACAGGGGGTAAACTGAGGCCAGAGAGGGCAGGCAGGTGCCCAGGCTCATTCAGTAACTGAGACCCCAGAACACTGGGTGCTGCCCCCTCTGAAATGCAGGGCCGGGTGGCCAGGGCCTGGCTTCCCTTGGTTGACAGCGGGACCTGGTCCCTGCCTGGCAGAGGAGCTGTGAGGGCAGAGCCCCTGCCGCTAGGCATCCCACTTCTCTGCTGTCCACCGTCGCCAATGCACCTGCCTCAGCAGACCCTGAGTTCGTGTGCGTCACCTGGCCCCGCAGAAGCTGGGCATGCTCAGTGTCCCACCACAGGGAAATCAGGACGTGTCCCTTTGGAAGGCAGCTAAGGGGTGCAGAAAGGGTTTGGGAACCTCCTTCGTGCATACCTGTGTGTACCTGTACATGTGGATGTATGCACATGTGTATGTACAAATATACGTGTGAGTGTGCATACACGTGTGCGTGTATGTGTGTGTGTACATGGGTCAGTGCATGTCTGAATGTGCACAGCCACTCCCTCGAGGCCCAGGGAATGGGGCCTCTTTTAAAAGGGCCAGAAGCTCCAGCTAGCTGCCTGCTCCTCCCCACCCAGGGTGCTAGGCATGGGCCCCCCATTCTGAGGGGCTGCACTGAGACTGAGACAACCCTGGACCCAGGCCTTGCCTCTCTACACTGGAGTAACTCAGAGAAGGTGACAGCCAAAATTCACTCCTGGTCTGCCAGGCACCAGGAGGCCCTCGCACACCGCTGCCTCTCCCTGGCATGCATGGAGCCTGGGGTCCCTAACCCTAACCCTAACCCTAACCCTAAGGGTCTTGTTGCACGTCACCTGCTGAGTGTGGCTCGGGAGTGTGGGTCTCAGAGCAGGAGGGGCCCTCTTTGGAATTCACCCTCTGCGAGGCTTCCACGCCGGCCGGCCTCCTCTTGGTGGCTTGCTGTGTCTGGGCCCTGGCCTAGCCCTGTGGTGACCTCATGCTGGGAGTGCAGAGCCTCCCTCAGAGCCCCGGGCCCCATGGCCCCTGGAGAACCTCCTGCTCCTCAGCGATGGGTCCTGGAGAGTCCACAACTCCACTCCGAAACCAGATCCCGGAATCTGAAATCAAGCTCACCGGACCAGTGTGTCCAAACTGCCCCTAAATCCTGTGGCCGTGCCCCTTCCCGACAGACGCCCCGTTAGCTCCCGCTGCAGGCAGGCAGCCAGCGTTCCTGAGGCCTCAGGCTGTCCTCTCTCCGCTCACAGCAGACTCCCCACTCCCTTCCTCGCCCCTCTGTGGGCAAACCAGGCGGCTCAACCCATCCCGTGTTCATTAACTCCCTCGTCTACAGCCCCTGGGGTGGGCTGGCCCAGCCGAGAGAAGGTTCCCTGCGGAGGTCCCTGCCCCATCTGTGGACACAGTGCTGAGACCCCCTCGCAGTCCTCAGAGAACCCAAGCTTCGGCACTGGCAGCGCGGGGCGGGTCCTGTCCTCCGAGAGCCTCAGCTGGACTGGGCTGACCTGGGCCCTCTCCCTCCGCACTGGGCTGACCTGGGCCCTCTCCCTCCGCACTGGGCTGACCTGGGCCCTCTCCCCCCGGACTGGGCTGACCTGGGCCCTCTCTCCCCGGACTGGGCTGACCTGGGCCCTCTCCCCCCGGACTGGGCTGACCTGGGCCCTCTCCCCCCGGACTGGGCTGACCTGGGCCCTCTCCCCCCGCACTGGGCTGACCTGGGCCCTCTCCCCCCGCACTGGGCTGACCTGGGCCCTCTCCCCCCGCACTGGGCTGACCTGGGCCCTCTCCCCCCGCACTGGGCTGACCTGGGCCCTCTCCCCCCGGACTGGGCTGACCTGGGCCCTCTCCCCCCGCACTGGGCTGACCTGGGCCCTCTCCCCCCGCACTGGGCTGACCTGGGCCCTCTCCCCCCGCACTGGGCTGACCTGGGCCCTCTCCCCCCGAACTGGGCTGACCTGGGCCCTCTCCCTCTGAACTGGGCTGACCTGGGCCGTCTCCCCAGCTCCTCTGACCCGCTCTTGTCAATAGGTGTTTTTCAGGCTTCCTGGTTTGCTAAGGGCCCGCATCCCTCTCCTCACTCCCCTCGTGAAGCCAGTGTCACAGATAGGCTGGAGTGGGCTGCCTGAGAGGAGCTGGCCCCCTTCTCCGCACGTACCTCCAGCTTGCCCCAGGGACCCTCATGGCAGCTGGACGTTCCCACGAACACGAAGTGTCCCCCACTCTCCAGGAAGGGCCCAGGTACCCTCTGTTCTCCAGATCTCACTGGCTCTGCTCCCTCCAGAGGGAGCTTACAGAGAGCAGAGTCTGAGGCCCTTGATGCCAGGATGGTGGGGGTCCCGGGGTGGCTGCGGCTCCTCCAGCCCCAGAACTGTGTCTGGTGTGGTGTTCCACTGAGCAGGGTTTGCAGGCCTGTATAGAATTCCAGGAGCAAGCCCTTGGCCTCCTAGCCCCTGTGCCCCACCCAATACCTCCCACTTGTCCCCATGTGCGTCTCAACCTTGTGTCCAGGCTGGACCCTCACGCGGGAGCTGAGCCCTCCAGGGGCCCTCCCCTGTCTGCACGTGCAGGTGCTGCGCCCGGCTCCGTGCAGATGCTGTGCCCAGCCCTCTACTCTCCGCAGTGTCCAACACAGAACTGAAGCGTGCCCCAGCAGAAAACGCAGATGACCGCATATTGAGATTTTTTAAAATTTCTGTGAATGTAGCTTTTAAAAAGCACCTGAAAGTAAAATGATCATTTCTCAACATAATATTAGTCAAAGAAGTTACTGAGTACCTTCTTGGAACTTGAAATATCCTCCTGAAGACAGGAAGCCAGAGGCAGGAGAGGAGGTGTGAGCCGTGGGGCTCTGGACCTGAGAGAGCTCCCCCTGGAAAGCAGTGAGAGAAGGGTGCAGGCTTGCAGTGAGAAAAGGGCTGCCCTGCAGCGCCGTGGCCCTGGGCTTGTGCGTCCACACGCAGGCACTCCGGGCGCCCTTTGCGCCCAGGACACGGAGGGGAGGGGACACGGCCTTCCGTGTGGGTGTCGGGGAGGAGGCCGGGGTGGCCACAGGTGGGCGTGCGCTGCTGCAATGAAACCAGCCGTGTTGAGTGGCTACACTGGAGAGAGCTGCTTCCCAGACAAGGGGAGCCGGGAGGGGGGTCGGGGAGCCGGGAGGGGGTCGGGGAGCCGGGAGGGGGTCGGGGAGCCGGGAGGGGGTCGGGCAGCCTCAGGACGGCCAACCCCTAACTGTGAAGGAGGTGGTTGTACAGGCCCTTGATGGGGACAGCTTCAAACGCTGCTGTCCCACGCACAGAGCTGAGACTTTATGTAAATTGCGAGATGGCAGCAGTGCCCGTAACGGCGGTTTTCCTTGTCTGTTGCTGCTCAGCAGATGACCCTGGCCTGGATCCTGAACAACAGGACGACTTTTTTCTGTGGCCGGGCGGCCTCTCCCGACTGCGTGGTCTCCAAGCTCACTCGCATGGCGGCTGGTGGGATTCTCTCCTGGGGCTGCCGGCACTGCCTGGGGTTCCTGCTGCATGCGCCTCTCCGTGGGGCCCCTCACTTCTGGATACTCCCCAGAGGACGCCAGCAAAAGGGTAAGACAGGCCACAGGTGTCCCAGCCTCAGCCCAGGGGAGGCAAGGCAGCCTCAGGCCACCCCCGGGACAGGCTGCATGGGGTGGACACCAGGACATGGGCTCACATGGCCGACATGCACATGGTCTGCCATGCGCCCCAGATGCCCACTGATGGCAGAGCGGGTGCACAGCCTGTGGGGTACACACAGGAGAATCTGGACAGGAGTGAGAAGTGAGGACCCCGCCACTCTGACATAGCTACGACAGGACTTGTCTCAGCCATGATGCTGAGACCAAAGGGCGGACCCAAAGAGGACCTGTCCATGTTCCGTTTGTAGAAAATCCTACAGCAGCCGAACCAATCCACAGTGTCAGATTCAGAGCAGCATCAGCGAGAGGAAGGGGGTGGTGGATACTGACGAACCAACCCTTGCGGGTCCTGTCAGCGCCCAGCGAGTCACCGGCTCTGTCTCTCGCCCCTCCTGAGAGACCCCAAAGGTCTCATCTGAAGTAGGTGTTTGTGGCCTTGTAAATCTGCTCAGCCTCTTTGGAAATCAAGACTCACAAGTGATTCACTCTCACCAACTCGACAAGGCCATTATTCGATGGAAGAAACAAGAGACAAAAATAACAAGAAGAAGACAAACTTCCATTTCTAAAGGCATTTGTGGTATTGCCTGTAAAAGTATTTAAATTGGGAATCAAGAGAGTGTTTTCAGCATTTGAAGGATGGATGGTGAATAGTGATTTAGGAAATTAACGCAATATGTACAATTATTGGCAATGACGTTTTCAAAGTGACAGATCTTGAGAAGACAGTGCCGATTGTAAGTTAAAACCGTGTTCTATGTGCACTAAGATGGAAACCATGCGGAATACGTCCCCGTGAGTACTTCAAGGGATGCAGATCTGTGTGAAATAAAAAGAATGTGTAGAAGTAACGGTCTATGGGTGTGTGGCTTCCGCAAGTCTCTCTAACAACAAGAGAGCTTTTGCTCACAGAGGAGATGTAGGGCGTCAGGGCCCCGCTGAGTGGGCAGGAGCCACCGGGCTGGGTGTGCAGGATCCAGGCGGACCGTGGTGCAGGGAAGCAGGGCCCAGTCTTGGAAGAAAACAGAGTCCAGGGCTGGAGGGAGCTGAGGTCGGGCGCCCGGGCTGAGGAGGGGCTGGCAGGTTCCACTCCAGCCCCCTGCCCAGATTCATCACCATCCGAGAAACCAAGATCAGTGACGTCAACATTCTCCCAAGATGATGCTGGAGAAACTAATTATGGAGAAAAAAATGTTAAGAGAATGGAAAACCAGGTGTGTGCATGAACGTGTTTTTACCTTTGAATCAATTGTGATCCGAGAGCCTGATGTCTGGAGTGCCGTCTGGGGGACAGGACCCCCGGCCTTCCTTCCACCGTCCTGGCCGTCACTTAACCAGGGTCTTGACGGCAAGAAACAAATCACCCACTGGTTCATTTTACAGCTCATTAGGCAGGCACAGCAGACACCCATTACCGCCTTTGGCATTAAGGAGATTTTGAGATGGAGGCACTGCGAATGACGCTGGGATTAGCAAAGGTCAGAGCGAACATTAATGGAATTCTCATCCGCACAGAGTAAGTGGATCCATTTCCTGGTAATGGTGTGGGAGCTATTAAAGCAAGGTTGGAACCCACACAACGAGGAGATGGCAGATCCGGGCAGGACCGAGGCCTCTGCCTAATGCACTGGTCTCTACCGCCTGGGGAGGCCCTCCGGAGGGGAGGGATGCCTGTGTTCCCCGGGCGCTGGGGCACAGGCGGACCTGATGGTGCTGTTTCCAGCAAAGGCTCCACCTAACGATTTCCCCAGCAGGGTCTTGAGCTGAGGCAGAGAGTAGCTCAGGTCCATTTTTCCTTTGAAATGATCCTTGTGACTTTTAACGTGGAAATGCTTTAGATTCACTGGATTATATATATAGATAGAGAGAGAGAGAAATGACTCACTTTGTCACCCAGGCTGGAGTGCAGTGGTGCGATCACATCTCACTGCGGCCTTGACCTCTCGGGCGCAAGCGATCCTGCCACCGTGTCTCGCTACGTTTTAATTTTTTGTACAGGTGAGGTCTCACTACGCTGCCCAGGCTGGCCATAAAGACCTGGGTTCAACAATCTGCCCACCTTGACCTCCAAAACTGCCGGGATTACAGGCATGAGCCACCACCACACCTGGCCTGGTACATATAAATTTTTTTCATTTTGAAGACCTGCAAATAAAATTGAACAAAACCTCAAAATGCAGCTGCTGTGAGGGTTTTGAGGTGGGGGTTGGCAGAATCCTCCATCAAGCCTCTCACCAGACCTCGGGCAGCAGGGACATCCCTGCAGCTGTGTGGGATCTGAGGGGCCCTGGTGAGACCTTGTACTGTGGGGAGTTCCAGCTGTCCCTTTAGACGGAGACACCCAGCCAACAAGGGGACTCACACACGCGTTTCCTCAAAGTGGACGCCCACTTGGGGAGGGCGGCTTGGCTACCAGCACCTCCTTCCATGGTGAAGAGCACGCGCGGTCAGAGACGGATCCGCCAGGGACACGGACCCTCCAGGAGACGGATCTACTAGGGACACGGATCCACCAGGGACACGGACCCTCCAGGAGACGGATCCACCAGGGACATGGACCCTCCAGGGACATGGACCCTCCAGGAGACGGATCCACCAGGGACACGGACCCTCCAGGGACACGGACCCTCCAGGGACACCCCAACCCCAGCCGGACTGAGGATGCCCATGGGACTCTGGCCAGGGCCTCTGCAGCAGCTGCCCCGAGGTCAGGACTTGGTCCACACTGCCAGTTTCTCTGATTGTTTACCACCACCCTCCCCACATCACTCCCACCTCAGGCCCAGCCAGAGAAGCCACGGGTGCTCCTCTAGCCTGACGTGTAGGACGGCCGGCTGCCGGCAGCCTGGAGCTCCCCCACCCGCTGGACACAGTGACGTTTGGCCCCGAGGCCACCGGAGGCTCCTGTGCAGAGCCTGTGTTTGCTCCCATTGCAGGCCTTTGTGTATCTCTGCCTGCCCCATATGTCTGGTCATAGATGACAGAGGCTCCATACCTCAGCATCCATCAGAGGTGGCACCACCCTCAGACTTAGACAAGGCGCTCAGGGAGGGCAGAGCTGATGTTCCCTTTCTGTGTGTTTGTGTTCTCCTTTCTCAGGGGCTATCCTGGAGTCGCAGTAGAACTGGACACAATACAATCGAGAGGTGGGGTCCTGGTGCTCGCTGTCCTTGTGGGAACACTGTAAAAGCATCTGGCTGCTGATCAGACGAAAGTGCACAGCAGGCAAGGAAGCTCCTAGCACGGTAGAAGCTCATTCTCCACGTTGAGAGACGTGAATAGAGCCTGTTCCTCACACAGGTGCTGACTTGGAGCTTGTGATGTGTGTGGTCAGGACGCAGCACCTCCCGCTGGGCCACCGCAGCCCTCACGAGGTCCCTCTCGGGATGAGCTTCGTGTCTGCCTTGGGGGCCTCGGGGGCTCTGACACGGGGGCAGGAGGGATGGCCTCGCGCTGTCTTGAGTGGAAAATAAGGGAAATGTCCTTGGAAGGGGTGATTAGGGGGCAACTTCTGGGGGAGCTGGGAGAAGAAAAGGGCTCTGAGGCTGGCCTGACGGTCCTGCCTGTGCAAGAAGAGGAAGCAGGAGACGCTCTTGTGATACCAGGAACACCAGCTCCCACTGGGGAGGAGCCCAGCCTGCAGGCAGAGCCTCCAACCGGCACCAAAGGGGACGCCAGCCGGCCAGGTCTCGGGAGGAAGGGAGGGTGGGTGAACACCAGGAACCTCCACCCAGGGGCCTCGGCTAAGCCCTCTTCTCAGCGGACACCCTCACTCCAAGATGTCTCAGCACAGGGGCCTCCCCAGGGCAGCTGCAGCCTCAGGAAGGGGCCGTGAGCCCCACACCCCACTTCCTTCTAAGCCCACGCCTTCCCGCAGACCAGCTCCTGGGTCAGGTCCTGGCCAGTTGGGAAGGGCTGGGCCTTGTGGGTTCACCAGAGACACTGTAGGGTAAGCAGCCAGCTGAAGGGGTTAATTTTATAGGCTCGAGGAACACGGCTCCTTTCAGGTTGCTGGTAGGGCTGGGAACGAGGGGCTGTGTCTACACAGACATCCCCATTGTGGGGCTGATTCAGGGAATTGATTCAGAGGCCACACTCGGACGTGCACCTGCACAGAACTAGGGCACCCCACCTGTGTGGAGCACTCGCCGTCCTGTCGTGAGCCTGGGGGGCAGCGGTGGCCTGGCATGGACCCGGGCACACTGACCCTGCCCCGCACCCCAACGGTGGCCAGGAATTTTCTGGAGCCACAGGGCCCTGCCACATGCACCATGCAGGGAGGTCCACGGATCCCCCAGGGAAGAGCAGGTGTTGTCAACACCAAACCACAGGTGGCAGGGCCCTAAGGGGCTTTCAAACACCCCCCACTAGAAGGTCAGACTCTTGGTCTCCATCCATCCCCAGCACGAGGTCTGTGCAGAGAGTGAGGGCACTGCCTCTTCTAGACCTCCTTGTCTGGCCACGCGTGCCCTTTCCCCAGCTGTTCCTGTTCCTCCAGCTGCTTCTGTGCCTTCCCTCACACTGTTTTCTTGAGAAACACACAAGCATTTGCTCCTTTCCGGTCTCTACTCATTAAAGGCCTTTCATTCCCCAAGCACTCAGAGAGACTTCCTCTGAGCAGCCCCCTCCAGCCCACCCAGTGGCCACTACACCCACTGCCTGCGTCCTGCTGTGTCCCCCAAGGCTGGGGTGAGACTCTCACATGTCTCACATAAGGAAGGAGGGAAAGAGGGAGAGAGGGAGGAAGGGAGGGAAGGAGGGAGGGAGGGAAGGACGGAGGGACAGAGAATAGGAAGGAGGAAGGGAGGAGGGAGGGAGGGAAGGAGGAAGGGAGGGAAGGAGGGAGGGAGGGAAGGAGGGAGGGAGGGAAGGAGGGAGGGAAGGGGGAAGAAGAGAGGGAAGGAAAGAAGGAAGGAGGGAGGGAGGGAGGGGAAGTTCCTCCACAAACCAGCCACCTCCCCCCATCACAGCCCTGATAGGACTGCCCAGCCTTTAGCCCACAGGAGGATTTTAAGCTGCTGCCTGTATGTACTTAGAGAACAGTTTATGGTTGCTAACGTATAATTTTCAAAAGGGTAAAATCGTGATTCTCCAGCAAATGGAAAATGGGCACACGTCGAAGATTTCATTGAATTCATTAACAAATGAGGGGCGATGTTATGGCAGACGCTGTGACTGGCTGCTGAGCACACTTCACAGAAGAGGTGTTTACAGGCAATTTGACAAGAAAGGCTGAGATAAGACCTCTGGGTTATGGACTGGTTAATGTC
The DNA here is from genome assembly GCF_000001405.40 of Homo sapiens. Classification (NCBI taxonomy): domain Eukaryota; kingdom Metazoa; phylum Chordata; class Mammalia; order Primates; family Hominidae; genus Homo; species Homo sapiens. The sequence goes on along the minus strand of NT_187653.1, from coordinate 158,073 downwards.
CAGCCGGCCTGAAATCTGTGGATTATCTGTCTCCCTGGACAGAGATCACTGCATCTGCCTTCGGCTAAAATCCAGATAATGGGACACGTCTCTGAGTCTGGAACCTTTGAACAGCAAACTGGGAGGTGAACTAAGTCCCCCGCAGCCCAGGTCTTGGGAACCAGCCCAGGTCTCGGGAACCTTCCCCCCAGCCCTGCCCACTTTAGGGACTTAGTTCCAGGTTTCAGATAACTTTTTCTGACAATAATTAACTTTTAATGTATACTAAGAGAAATGATCACGAGACATCAAATCTGTGACAGAAAGTCTCCCATGTAAATACATTTATCTAAGTACAACATTGGTTATTTTAAAGGAAGGTATGTTCTTAAGTAAATAATTGTGTAGGCACCTGCCCGTCCCAAGGTGCCACAAGGCTGTGAGTGACATTGTTTTAAGCTGCTGGGCAAACCAAATCTCAGCTCCATAATAAATGACGTCTTTAATTCAGTGATGCTATCTTTTCATTGCAATCAAGTTTCTAAATATTTGGGAGGAAGTCCTGGCTAGTCCTGGCACCCACCTCCACCTGTTCCCTCCCCAGGGCGTGGCTGCCTTCTTCCCAGGTTTGGAGAGGCGGTGTCCTCTCAGGCAGTGGCGCGTTGAGGCTGCTGTCAGCTGATTTTATGCTGAGGAGGCCCGGCCTGGACATGGGAGCCCCCACAGTGGCCAGTCCCTCCGCCTTCTGGGCACATCCTGTGGTGGTGGGGTGGGTGTGGGGTGGAACTTCCTCCCCCGGACAGGCCAGCCACTCAGGATGGGGCCCTGTGCCCTGCTCACATGGGCTGTGCTGGTCTTCAAACCGGCCTGAGGGTCAGCAGAACATTTGCAGGTGGAGATGGAAGGAGAAACAGCATCCGGTCAGCACAAACCGTAAACAGCAGGTGCTCGGGTGTGGAGCTGGAGCCATGTGTCTCTGTGGGGAGGAACAGGGGTTTGAGGGGAACATGGGGACTGGGGCTCAAGGCACCTGGATTTAATCTTAGAGACGAAGGGGTGGGGAGGGAGTGCCCACGTGGGATCTGAGAGGAGACTCGCTGGCAGAGACTGGGCAGATGTGAGCCCTCCCTGCGATGGTCAGCCCTGCTCCTGATGGCCATGGAAGGAACATTTTTCTCCACCCCACTAAGGTGGGCTTTGACCACGTGGACGCTGGTGGATGTCCGCAGGCCCTGCAATGTGTTCCAGGGAATCGGCTTCAGGAAAAACATGCCTGGAGCTCAGCAGAGTGAGGGGCACACAGAGCAGACCTGACTTGAGCCTCAGCCTGGACCCCCACCTGACACTCAGAGCCCTGGGGAGAGAGGCCGTGGAACCGCCCGGCAGCATCACTGCCTCAGCACCTGCCAAGATGGAAATGGGCACGTTCAGGTCAGATAGGAGGCTGGGGCACACTCCTCCCTCGCCCCCGACCACCCACCCTCCAAGCCTTAGTTTAGATGTTCCCTCCTCAGATCAGCATTCTCTGCCCTGAGCCACGGTGGCGCCTCACTCCGGGGCCTGCGTGCCTCCTGCCTGTCTGAGTCCAACCTCAGCTTCCCAGCCAGCAGCTCAGGAACCCACAAGGTCGTGCAGCTGCCGAGCCGAAAAACGAATGAGCAGCTCTCGCGTGCAGGTCGGCTGGGTGGGTGTACGGCTTCATGGCGAGGCATCTGGAGTGAGGGAGGCTTGCTTCTCCTGCGGGGCCCTTGCTTTGTGTGTCTGGACAGGCGCCGTCCTCGTGGCTGCCTGGGACTGGGGCCTCTCTCCATCATCACAGTCCAGGAAGAGGGGTGGCCAGTCCTAGAGCTTGAGCTGAGCTGCCCTTGGTGGCTGTGGAGATGAGGAACTGATGTTGATGGTGCAGTCGGGAAGGGAGATGTGACGGATGAAAAGGAGACCCCGATTTAGCAGGAAGTGTGGAATTCTGTGATCCTGTGCTGCTGGTCCCTGCAGAGGTTTTGGCAGTCCCCAGACACTGCTGTCTTGAGAGGAAGAGGAGTCCAGGCAGCCACAGCAGAACGCTGACCCCTCACTGGTCTGCTGACTCCTCACTGGTCTGCTGACCACACAGCACGGCCTTGGTCTCCAGGCTGGCCCCCTGGAGTCCTCAACCAGCCCCAGAGGGAAAGGAGGTTTGCCAGAGGGACCTTGCAGCCACACGTGTGGCCCCAGGATGGCAAGGACAAGGCCCCTGGCGAGGTGGTGCTCATTCCATAAGGAGTGGTTAGAGTCACTCAGCAAATCCATCCCACGCCTGCCACGGGCTTCCCCCTCCCCTGGGCACCACCGGCCACCCTAAGCTCAGAGACGTGGTGGAACCCCTCCCGTGTGGCGTGGTGCCGAGACTGAGGGATGTGCAAGCTGTGAGGAGCATGTGGCCACAGCCAGGTCTGAAAGACAGCACTCCGAACCAAGCAGATCGTGTGAAACTGCAGGCCGATGTGATACGGAGACCAGGGTGCAACTTGCTCTGTTTTCAAGAGGAGAGACTTTGGAGAACTGTTATAAAAAATGGTTGCTGTGTCTGCAGGCTCACACGGGAACTCTGCTGTAAATATTTCTGTGCCAAGGCAGCACAGTGTTGCATGGGGGCCTGAGGGCCTGTGGGTTTGATTCATCCTTTCTAGGATGTCTGCAACATTTCTTGGATGTGAAAGTTTGTTCTGAGCACGACAGTTGGAAAATCACCGTCCGTGTCCTCTGAGCTAGGACTCACCTGCTGCAGGGAAGGAGCTTTGCTTAGCAGACCACGTCACACTCCCAGGATGATGAAGAGGGGATCTCCTGCAGGGTCCTGGGGACAAACCCTGCTGGCATCTGGCCATGGGGGAAAGAGCATCCGGAGTGAAGGGGACGACAATAGTCACCACAGTGGCTGGAGATGAGCCCACACGGTCGTCTTCCCCAGCGGAGACGTTCCCTCCCGTAGGAGGGTGGGTCAGAGGATACAGAAGGCGCCGGCAGTGACCAGGAGCAATGTGCAGCCTCCTCTCCCCCAGCTCCTGGAAGCAGATTCCGTCCGGGCACAGGAAGCTTTCCCGGTAATTGGCTAACGCGCCACATGACTGCTGTCTGCCAGGCTCTAGGAGGTGAGAATTCCTCCTCAAATTAACCTCATACCCAGAAACCCATCATCGCCACTTACCAGGATGGGAAAGCACAGTGTCCTCTAAAGAAACTTACATTCAAGCTGATGATCATACTCAGACAGCTAATTAAGAGCTAATTATTCAAATGACGGATCAAAGAACCGTGCATGCACCCAGCTTTCCCCGGAGACTCGGGTCCCCTGGCACTTGCATCCTGAGTCGGGGAAGAATCCTCAGCCACATAAGTGAGGACACATGTTTGCCAAGAAACCTCAAGTCTACATTCATAGCGGTGTCTACTCAGAGGACACAGGAAAACACACACACACACACACACACACACACACACACACACACACCCGGGAGTCCTTGCAAATGGTCCCAGGCTTCATGAGAAGTCCGTGCTGGTGACAGTTGGAACGTGTTACTCTGGGGATAGCCTAATCACTACGAAATTAATTTTCTGAGCTCCTGAGAAACTTGCCTTCCTAAAAACCAAGATGGATGCAAATGAACAAGGACTGAGCAGCCCGAAGCGGGTCCATGGGGGTGGCAGCGGCACCCCTAACTCTGGCCGGGTGAGGGGCCCCGTCCAGGCAGCCTCAGTCCAGGCTCTAAGCAAACGCCGTGGCCCACAGGTGCTGCTTCTGGGATGGCGTCGGGACACTCCTGCGGGGGTAGCAGAGAGCTCGGCCCACCGACTAGCCGCTCTGCCCGCTGACCTGAGTGCTTCTCCGACCTCCGCAGTGGACGTTCACCTCTAAACCTTCCTTCATGTAAATGTTTGGTTCCCATAGCTGAGGCAAATGCCCTTGAAAATGCTTCCATCAGGAAACATTCAGACACCTAAATATATACTTTGTATCAAGTTTAATGAACACTTTGCTACTTTTGATGACTATGATTTCTTTATCTACCTGGTAAACAGAGACCAGGAGCCTTTTAGTTTTATTTCACGGAAAACACGTTGCTCAGTGGCGGCTCTCCAGCGGCTTCCCGTGCGGTCGTCCCATGGGCTGTAGGGAGGGGCCACGCACCACCCTCCTGGGAGGTCTCTGCCTCTCCTCTCAGGTGTCCGCCCCCCGCCCCGGCTGGGACGGAAGCCCCTGAGGAGCTGGTGGAATCTGGTGTGAATGGGAGCGCTTTTGCTCCAGCACTTCCTGTCCAGGCCTCTGGGTCCTGGAAGGAGCCAGGGCCGTGTAGTTCTATGAATGTGGCACCAGGACCTGTCCCCCCAGGCCTGGAGGGCCTAGAGGGAGGGAACCTGAAAAGCCCTTGTTCTCAGAAACGCAGGCTGTGTTTCCCATGTGCACAGATTCCTCAAACTCACCTTGTGGAGAGGACACAGCTGCGTTGCTCTGAAGCCCAGGGGATGTGTGCCCCTCACGGGTGTGACCTGGGGCACCGTCCTCAGAGCGCTCGGTCCCTCAGAGGTGTGATCGGCCCAGGTGAGCACACCGCCTGCTTTGCAGCCACCTCTGGAAGGCTATGAACTCAAGTTTGATGAACAGAGAGACAGCTGTTTGTCCAGGACCATCAGCCCTGAGGGCAGATGAGACCAGGCTGATGGCGGCCACCCTGCTGCTCCGTGCAGAGGAGCGGCCTGCGAGTGAAGCCACACAGAGGGGAGACTTCTGAGCGACAGGCAGGGTGGGGGCCCAGTGAACTGTGGATCTCTAGATCCACTGTCAGCTGCAATCCTGTCTTTATTATGTTTTAAATGTCATTTTGTCTGATTTAGTCTGGCCTTGGTTTTTATTACCTGGAACTCAAAGAATCTTTAGTTCTGTGCCATGTAAAGGAGATATTATTCCAGTTTACACCAGAGAAGTTCCAGGCGTAGACGGGCAAAGTGCCCAAGCGCACCCAGCCAGGAACAGGTGCGGCCTCGTGAGCTCCAGTGACCCTAATCCCTTATGAAACGTGGGGCTCAGGCTCGACACGGCATGGGACTCGCTATGCCAGTTTGCCAAATGCAGACTGCAGGGCACCCACCAGCAACGATACTGTTCAGTAGGTTAGGGCAGGTTCCGGAAGTCTCCATTTTTATCGAACGTTCCTGGTGATTCTGAGGCAGCCCCCATCTTGCTGAAGACAAGCCCACTGTGCAAGCCTGGCTGCATTTGGCCCCTGGTTTAACATCCGCACGCAGGATTCTTGCCGGCCGGGCGCGGGGGCTCACGCCTGTAATCCCAGCACTTTGGGAGGCCGAGGAGGGTGGATCACGAGGTCAGGAGATTGAGACCATCCTGGCTAACACAGTGAAACCCTGTCTGTACTAAAAATACAAAAAATTAGCCAGGCGTGGTGGCGGGCGCCTGTAGTCCCTGCTACTCGGGAGGCTGAGGCAGGAGAATGGCGTGAACCTGGGAGGCGGAGCTTGCAGTGAGCCGAGATCACACCACTCTGCACTCCAGCCTGGGCGACAGAGTGAGACTCCATCTCAAAAAAAAAATATTCTTGCCAAGGATCAAAGCCTCAAACGTTCCCATGGACTCTCCACTGACCACGGAGGAGCTGGGGAGACGCTGGAGGACACGCTGTCTCTCCCTGGGTCCCGCCACCGGCTCCAGGCAGGTGTGCACAGGGCAGTGTGTCAGCCTCGGTGTCTGAGCCCCGCCGGGGCCCGTGAGGGTCCGTGTGAGAATCGGTGTCTGAGCCCCGCCGGGCCCCGTGAGGGTCTGTGTTAGAATCGGTGTCTGAGCCCCGCCGGGCCCCGTGAGGGTCCGTGTTGGAATCGGTGTCTGAGCCCCGCGGGGCCCGTGAGGGTCCGTGTTGGAATCGGTGTCTGAGCCCCGCGGGGGCCCGTGAGGGTCTGTGTTAGAATCGGTGTCTGAGCCCCGCCGGGCCCCGTGAGGGTCCGTGTTCGTTAGAAGGGCTGTGTGTGCAGTGGACAGGTGGCACCCATGCCTTCCTCAAGGTCCTCTTCCTTGGTGGCAGGGGGCTCAGGCCCGAGTGTCCCCTGCGCTCTGTCATGTTCACTCTGGGACATCACAGACCTCGGTCGCCTTTTTGCACTGGTCGATAGAAGCTACCAGCAAATGTGTGGCCCACTCTGGTGCCTGAATGGGAACTAACAGACTTCATTCTGTAGCTGCTTCCTCGGGCCGCGTGGCTGTTCCACCTCCATCTCCCTCACTCTGATTCCCGCAGGTTTGTGCGGCTTTGCTTTGTATCATGTGCCTTTGTCTCAGGGATGGACCCCATTTGGAACGAGGCGGGGCATCCCACAGACCAGCTCAGTTCCTACCCCAGAAAGAAGGGCTGCTGCTGAGAACTGAAAGGTCTGCTGGAAAGGAACAGCTCTGATGATAAAAACTTTGCCCCCGAAACTCATATTTCATAGGCTCTTTCTGAAGAAAAGTGAAACAAATAGTGTAGGTTTAATTGGATCCACGCCTGCTGGATCCAATACACACAGCAGCTGTATTTGTGCTACCAAAAGGGGGCTGGGGAGGGAAGGTGGTCTAGTGGGAGAAGGGAAGCAGTTATGACCAGGAGTGTCAATGAATCTGCCATGTCACAGAATTTTCTAAGAGACGTGGACCAATTTGGTGGCTGGGCTCAGAAGTGGCAAAAGGCGACAGCTGTCAACCGCCTCCCCGCAGCACTGCACCTCCCTGCTGCAGCCACAGCTGCCCTGTCCAGAAATCCTGGGGCCTCTGCACCGCCAGGCCCTTCTCCACCCGCTCCAACTTTGCTCGGCGCATGTGGGTGAGTGCGTTAGGGTGGAGGACATGCACGCCGGAATACTGACCCAGAGCTTCTGGAAGCCTCCCTGTACGCATTGTGATGAGAAGGCTGGAGTTCCAGCAGCCACGCTGGCAGGGAGCATGGAAGCCATGAGCAGGGATGTGAGGCCCAGGAGCAGAGAGCTCCTGGCTCTGGAGCCCCTGGGAGCTTCACGCTGGCTGTAAGTGCCAGCTGCCATGCTTCCTGTGCATGGAAGAAAATGCGCTCCATCTTGTTTCACCCACCGTGATTTGGGGTTCTGTCTAGGTGGCTGAACGTAATCACAGGGAATGCCAAACACCACTGCCCAGTGTGCAATGATTACACAGCAGCTCCCACAGTACAGCCCATGTCAGCACCCTCTGTGATGTACCAGGGTTCACCGTGGCTGCCTGGTCCCCAGGCCGCTGTTTCAGAAGAGTGGCTGACTACGTCAACCCTGCACGTCCAAGAGGCGGCTCTCATGGCCCAGGAAATCCACAACAGGTGTCTTTGGTCTCTCAATATTCCCTGGCTTGTCCAGCTCTCACTCACTATTGCCCCCACCCTGTGAACTGAAGTGGAGTATTATTCCCATCGTATCAGTTGCAGAAAAGTCAATGGCGTAGCATGGCGCAACATCTGTCCCCTCCCCTGTTGGTGTCTGGGAAGCCGCAGTCTGTGCTCACCAGGTAAGAGCTCCTGGCCCAAGCCTTTCGAGCATGGCCCTTCCAGGCTGCTTGTCACACTGAGATGTGAACAGAAACAGAGCTGGGTAGGCAGGCATCTCCAGGGACACCTGGCAGAGGGACGGTGCAGCTGCCATCTGGCCGGGTTTGCAGGACGCTCTTCCCATGCAGCGTCTCACATGTGCCTCGCTGGAGTCCTTGGAGGTGGGGATCATTGCCACAGCTTTGCAGATAAAAAGGAGGCAACCTGCCATGGTCACACGGGTGCTCCGCCCATCAGACGTGAATTCATGTCTGTCTGAGCCTAAGCCTCTGAGCATTCTCTGGAGCGCCATGCTGTGTGGACAGGCTGTGACCATGAGCCACTAGAGCCCGGCCTGGGTGTGCCGTAAACCCAGCCCGGCCTTCCATTTCCAGGCCCTCTGAGGGATGTGCCTTTGGCCTCTGAGGCCCTGAGCTCCACGTGGGGAGAGCTCAGCCCCAGGCTGGCACCTGCCATGCCTCCTACGGAAGCAGCCACGGCCCCGAAAGACAAGACACCCTGCACAGAAGGCAGGTCCACAGGCCCTGAGTGCTGGCAACATACGTGAAGGAAAAAGAAACGAAATGCTGGCCAGAAAATTCATGCTCTTGGGCCAACCTCTACTGGAAAAGGCCAGGCGACATTTCTAGACCTTTTGTGTCCCAAAAATTAAGCAGTGGGCTCACACAGCTTTAAGCCAGCAAGCTCAGTGATAGCCTAGCTTTCATTGAAACACATAAGCTGGTCCATCATTCATAATAACCTAACGATGAGTCTTTCCTCATGTTTACGGCTTCAGAAAGAGAAGGTAGCAAGTGACAGGTCTTGGTAATGTCTCCAGTCATGTTTCTTTCATTGTGCCCCGAAAGCAAGGCTGTCCCCGTGGAGGGTGCAGAGTCAGTGGGGAAAAGGGGAAGAGCTCCTTCAGCTGATGACAGACGTGAATGGGAGAACGTAGAGGCTGTTTTCTCATTCCAAAGGAAAAGGAAAAAGAAGAATCAGAAAGGTCCCCTGTCCCCTCCTTCCCTCCAGGCTGGACTGTGTCCCGAAAGGAGGCTGGCCACGGCCCCGTGGCTCGTGGGACTGCCACTGGTTGCCCGGCCGTCCAGGAGGTCTTCATCTGCGGTCTCCCCCTCTGGTGTCTCTAGGTGTTCCAGGACCCTGCAAGCTAAATCCAGTGCTATAAAACAGCTCCTCTGTTTGCAGGGGGCTCTATGCAGAGGCAGCCCCGGCAAATCCCTCCTGCGCCGTGAGGCTCTCCAGGCTGATTTCTCCACCCCTGCTCTGGAGGAGGGAGGCCTCTGAGGCAGGAACAGCCCAGCCCCGGCATTTGCAGAGATGACCACTGGGTCCCGTGTAGGGCCAACCTTCTGCCACCTTCCGGAGTGCCCCCAAATCTGTGTTCTCCAGCCCAGACAACCCCGCATGTCCCATGAAGAAAAGTGCCCCACTGAGGTGCGGGCTGGAAGCCTTTTCAACACTATTCAGCTCCTGCTGAGAAACCTCTCAGGTCCCGCAGAGCGCAATGCAGAGCGGAGCAGGTCCAGGACCAGGGCAGGGCAGAGGGTACAGATGGAGCAGGGCCGCCCAGGATGACGGCTGCAGGTGGAGTTCTGGAAAATTATCAGGATGATGACAGACCAGGGCCGGCGGTCATGGCTGAGGACCAGCCCCCAGACACTGCTGAGGAGAAAGAAACTGTGAAGTCGACCTTATTTTACTCTCAGTCACTAACGTTTCTGGGCCGTTAAAGGCGGATGGCACAGAAACAGGCTGAGTCCCTCCAACCCCACGGAACCTGTCCTGACAGGAGAGACCCCCAAAAGGAGCCAGGACGTCCTCGGCGGACACAGGGGCCAGCGTCCCCATGCCCCTGAAGGTGGAAGCCTGGGGCCTACCAACTGGTCCTGAGGTCCGGGTGAGAGGAGGGCCTGTGGCGCGGGGGCTGGGCAGTCACCCTCACACCTGAGGCAGCAGCTCTGGACAGGGACAAGCCCTAGAAACTCCAGCCTCCAGTGAGCGGGAGCCACTGCTTGAGGGGGCTTGGGAAGAGGGATCCTCTCCTCACTGGCTACGGCGGGAAGAGGGCTTAGTCTTCGTGTGCTCAGCTGTGAGAAGCCTAGAAGTGCTTTGCTGTCGTTTCCTCACTTAATAAAGACAGCAAATCAGCCTCACACTGCAGCCTCCTGGATTCTTCCCATTTCTCATTTCCTCACTTAATAAAGACAGCAAATCAGCCTCACACTGCAGCCTCCTGGATTCTTTCCATTTCAACAACCTTATTAACTGGTTAATTCCCAGGTTAAGCCAAGTAACCCGGCAGGTGACTGGGAAAGCTGAAGGTTCCATGCCTGCTCCAATTAATGTCTTCTTAGGACAGACTGGAGAGTTCAGATTCACTCTCTAAAATGACTCAGAGAAAGAAAATTCACTGACTTATGAAAAGGTCAGTCTCCATCACTGACAGCTTCATATCACAAAGAAAGGCATTTTCAGAGCAGAGACACTTGATCACTGGGAATTACTGACTCCCAAGCCCAGAAAATGCCACTGGATACCCGGCAAAAGACCTCCATTAGAGCAGAGGGAATCAGACGGCACTGGTGGGATTAGCAGTTCCAATGGCTCCCAGAGCTCAGAGCTCCCAGCCAGGGCAGCCACACGTGAGGGACTTCTCACCAAATGCAAGTGAGCTTTGAGCTAATGCTTCAGAAACAAACTGGTTTTACAAGCAGGCTTTAGGTTAATGGTACACTTTTTTAAATGAAATAAAAAATGAAACTACTTTTTATTGGCTTATATAAGGGATCTGGAGTCATCAGCCTCTTGCATTGGTTTTATGCATGCAAACATAAAATGGCATTGTTATCTCAGGGTCAAGCTTATATTGGTAATTCTGGGTCAATCCCTCTGGCTTTTCTATAAGTATTTGAAAATACTGATATGATCCTTACAGGACTTCTCAAATCTCCTGGGGGCAGCATCCTTGGCCAGGATGTGCTCAGGGAAGACCACAGGTGCATCTGTCCAATAAATCAATGACTTCCCCCAATTAGCATAAGAGTTAAATATAATCAAACTATGCAAACTAGGTGTACCATGAGGTAAGTAAACCTCCTTAGAAACCAACTGAACACGCTGATCAATATCTGAAATTGTGGTATCTGTATAATTGCAGTAATACTGCGATAATCAATATCTGCATAATTGCAATACAAAAACTACAAGAATTTGATGTAATAAATGAAGATTTTACCTAGTAGGTTAACAAAAAAGAGCATGTGCTGGTAATTTATGTGCTGGTAAACATTTCACAGCTGGATCTCAGGAACAAAAATGCATGCATGCATATACATGGATAAGTGTATTATAAATTTCAGTGAAATAAAGCATCTGCAGTGTACAGTTTACAAATATAGTATACAGTACTCATTTTTGTAAATTGTATATGACCAATTGATTCTCGCAGAAAACATCGGCTCATTTCTGGAAAACTCGTTTCTGCAGGGAGACTGTAGCTGTATTTGACCAGGGAGGGTAGGCCCGACACAGATGCTAGTGAATGTTCTTATTTGCATTAATGAGTAAGACAAAACCAAAACGACAAAGCAGTCAGTGTGATCTCGTTTGTCAGTGACTTCTCTGCTGAACTGAGTAATTGTTTTTAAATGCCAGAAGAGTTCTTCAATTTTTTTGCTGTTCACAGTGCAATGGCTTCAACACTTTTAAGTCTAATCTGCATTATTAACACCTTCTCCATCAGTCTGAGTTAAAGGCCAGCTCTGGTTTGTAGCACTTGCTGGCGTCTGCAGCGTCAATGCATCCACCGTGAGCCACTCCAAGCTTCCACCTCGGCAGGGCTGAACAGGAGCACGCGGCGTGGGACGCCTAAGACAGGAGACGTCTCCTGCGGACCGTCCAGGCTGCTCTCGGGGAGGCTGGCCTGTGGACTTCATCCATGGGCTTCCATGGCCTCTGGCTTCCAGTCCTGTTTTGCCATTGGCGACCCCTGGCAGGGACTGGCAGGAGGCAGGAGGATGAGGTCTAGGTCTTATTCTCCTATGGGGTCATCTTAGTCTCTGTCTGGCCCTCGGTGAAGGTCATGGCATCTTTCAAGGTGACTCTGTGCAACCTGACTTCCAGAATCCATTAACTGCTCCTCCCCTCCTGCCTTCAGACCAGGGTGAGAATAGCTCTGCTATTATTAGGTCCAGAACACTGCACTTTTTTGGTAGTTTTCCAGCCCTCTGCCTATGTCTCTGCAAACAGTCCCCTTACCAAGCCCTCTGGGGATGACGCTAGTGTGCCCTGCGTTCCCGCTGGGACATTGACACAGACAGAACCCATACAACAGCAGAACTCCCCAGAGGACAGCCTCACCACGTGCACAGTGAACGGCCTGTGTGGGTGCTCCAAGACGACAGCCTCACAGCGTGCACAGTGAACGGCCTGTGTGGGTGCTCCAAGACATCAGAGGGGTCCCAGAGTTCTCCAGAAAAAATAACTATTCCACGTAGCTGCTAGCGTGAGACGCTGGGCCAACCCGAGCATGTGGGGAAGGCACCTTATGCTCTGCCATCACCCACAATGTGATGGTCTTGGGGGTGGGGCTTTCCGAGGTGAGTAAGTCATGAGGACCCGTTGTCGTGGAAGGCTTGAGTGCCCTTATAAACGAGGCCTGAGCTGGAAGGCGCTGTGAGGAACAGGCCCTCCCCAGATGGCAACTTGGTCTTGGACTTCCCAGTCCCCATAAATGTGAGAGATGATTGTCTGTTATTTTAAGCTTCCCAGTCAGTTACAGCAGCCAAACTTCTATCAAAAATAATAAAAGAACAGCAATTAGAAGTTTAAGAAATAAAAGGTCTTAGTTTAAATATAAAGAAACTTAAATGTGGCAGGAATTTAAAGAAATAATGGAGGACAAGGAGAAAGCGCATCTGACCTTAAGGCTGGGAACGATTCCTTTGAGTGACTCAGGGGTTGTGGTCCTGGGCCTCAGGGAGGGACATATTCGCCCAGCAGACGGCTCAGCCCTGGTGCACACCCTTCATACAGATGTGCACCAGGGGAAATTCAGTTACGGTTAAAGGGCTAAATGCATACTTCATCAGCTCATCAGCTATAAAAGCAATCCTCTAATAGGATCCGGGAGATGAAAGAGGGAGTGGGGAGGGAAGGGTGGGGCTGGAACCTCCTGGCATTACAGGGTAGGGACCACCGGACACTGTCAGAAATGACGCGACAAGAAATAGCCTTGAGTACTTTCAATTAAAGCAACAAAGGCAACCACAGACAAGCCAGGCCTACTCCCACCACTGCCACTGCTGGCCGCGAGGGAGGAGGCCAGCAGAGCCCAAGTCCCTGGCGCGTCAGTGCCGCTGTGCTGCTGGTCCCCGCTCACCTCTGCCTCGTTTTCGGGCTCTCTGTGTGTCCTGACACCTGTGCCTCTCACTTGGTGGTCTTTCCTCCGTCCCTTCTTGTTTGCCCGGCCCCTCTTACAGTGTAGCACTCTAAAGCAGCTTTTCTTTATGGAAATCTGTTTATTCCAAAGCTCTGAGGCAGTGTTATAAATATTGGTTTAAAACATTAGCCAGGGGATTACTGATAAAATATAAAATAGAAACAATTTCCCAAGGAAACTTCATCTAAAAATACACCAGTTTCCCCTCTCACCTCACTTGAGTAGAGGCACCAGAGGGTGTGTCAGGACCTGTCTCGGGGTGAAGGTCTCACTTCCTCACGCCTCTCCCACATGGCTCCCAGGAATCCCCCAGGAATGGCTTGGAAAAAAAAAATCTGTGACAATGGAGAAGAGTTGCCCCCAAAGAAACGTGCATATAAACAGCTCTTCCAGCTAGAGAAAAAAAAATTCTGCATAAATAATTCAGATTGCTGAGCTTGGTCCCTCATGCCTGTAATCCCAGCACCTTGGGAGGCTGAGGCAGCAGTTTGAGACCAACCTGGACAACATAGCGAGAGCTGGTCTCTACAAAAAATACAAAAAATTTAGCCAGGCATGGTGGTGCCTGCCTGTGGTCCCAGCTACGCAGGAGGCTGAGCTGGGAGGATCACCTGAGCCTGGGAGGCTGAGTAAGCCAGGATCACACCACTGCACTCCAGTCTTGGCGATGGACTGAGACCCTGTCTCAATGATCAATAATAATAATAATTCAGACAAACCAGGTCGAAAAATGTCCTGAGACGGTGAACTCAGGACCCAGCTACCTGGGGTGGACACTGTGGCTGATGGACCGGAAAGGGTAACACCAAAGGGCTCTAGGAGGTGTCTCATGTCTGGCTGTTGTCACTCCCCTTGGCCGCTGAAAGCCTTTCTGTTCCCCAGAATCGAGTAAGGAGCTCCTGGACAGAAGTGGGGAAGGAGTCTTCCTGCTCAGGGCTATGTTACTTAACTCCGTTTAAGTGACAGAGCATGAACAGGTCATATTAGTGTCACATGCACCCGATTTCATTCTCCATTTGCAACAATGAAGACTGTATAACGACATTGTTAAATACCCCAGAATTATAATTAAATCTTATTAGCCAATAGAATCTGAGTGTGCTAAAATCTCTATTAGCCGGGACTGATGTAGCCACGATGGCCATGCTCGGCGCGGCGGCTCACACCCGTAATCCCAAAGCATTTCGGGAGGCTGAGGTGGGCGGATCACGACGTCAGGAGTTTGAGACTAGCCTGGCCAACATGATGAAACCCCGTCTCTACCAAAAATACAAAAATTAGCTGGGTGTGGTGGCACGCACCAGTAATCCCCGCTATTTGGGAGGCTGAGGCAGGAGAATTGTTTGAACCCAGGAGGCGGAGGTTGCAGTGAGCCGAGATCCTGCCATCGCACTCCAGCCTGGGGGACAAAGCCAGACTCCATCTTGGGTGGGGGTGGGGAGGAAGAGGAGAGAGACCAAGCAGCAATATCATCGATAACAAATTACAATCCAAATTCTAGGCGGTGTTCTGGGACTGGTTCACATCCAGCTTGGTCTGGCCTTGCCACTCCCACAGGGCAGGACACACTGAGGTCTGCCTGGGGGTGCCTGCTCTGGCGGCTGGGCTCCCCGCTTTCTGCAGGCTCAGGTGCCCCCTATTCCTGCAGCCCTTCCTGGACCCAGCCTGTCCTCATCTCAAACTCGGGGCTGCTGGCCTGAGCTTGATCCCTTCACCGTTTCTCACTAATACGTCACTCTCGCCTCTTAAAAGATGACAAAGACTCTCTCCTTTGACCACACTCGAGTCAGGCTCCTCTGAGCCCTCCCTGTGACCAGTCCCTGACCTTGGCCGGTTTCGGCCGATTTAGCAAGAATCCTGCTGAGTCGGTTTAGTGAAAATCGTCTACTCTTGGTCCCTGATCAAAGTCCTCAACTCCCACCCTCGGTCTGTGACCACACTGCCTGCCTTTTCAGCAAAAATCCTGTCTATGCAGCTAGAACCCGCCTTGCCCCTGACCCTTCCTCTTAGTAATTTTCTCTCCACTCCCGACCCTACGCCTGGGCTGTCAATTCCCACTTTTTCTATCTGGAGTTGAGCCGGATCTGCCTCCCCTAACCCAACATCTCGCTTTAGCAGCCCCCCCACCTTGAATAAAAGCAGCCTTGCCCTCTTTAACAATTAATAAGCACAGACTGGGACAGGACATCCCCCTCCATCCCAGCGCCCATGCACCCTCAGCCACGGTCCTCAGACCTCAAGAAACCCAGCGGGTGACAAGCTTGGGTGTCAGCGGGGCTGGGATTGCTGCTGGGGGCACAGGAGCTCGGGAGCACTTTGCAGGTGAGCAGGGCCTGGACAGGGGCTTCTCTGCAGCCCACCCCTGGGGAGGACTCCGGGCCCTCGCCCTGGACGGCAGAGCTCGTTTTGCTGTTGCCCTACTGTCTCCGCGACCTTGGGGGTTCACTTAGCACCCCCAGGCCAACACCTGGCCTCTCCATGCACCAACACCTGGCCTCTCCTTCCCTGGCCTGCCGCCCTGCCTGTGTCTGGACTGTGGTTCACCGAGTGTGCACGTGGGCCTCGGAGGCTGCCCTATAGAGCCCAAAGTCCCAGGGAGGAGCAAAGGGGACCAAGTGCACACTCACCCAGCTTCCTCTGCCCGGCAACGTCCCTGCCCCCATCTCCCCTCCACCGCCACCAGGGCCTGCATCCCCATCTGCAAAGGGGACAGGGTGCCCACGCCTTCTGAAGCACGCGCTCTCCAGGCCGCTCTCCGGGCGTCACCCCGCCCTGCTCCCCTCGCCCCTGCACAGCCCGAGTCCAGCCTGGTCGCTGCCATCAGGACGATCAGGACCGACCGCCACCATCAGTGGGGACCGGCCAGGGCGGTTAGGCCCGGTCCGGGGCCCCAGGTCCCGCGTCCCCGCCGAGGCCAGGCAGGGAGGCCTGGCTGCCCCGGGCTTTAGAACCAAAATAAGCCCCGAAATGATTGGCGGCGCCCATGCGCCAGGAGAAAACCTAAAGGACGAACGTTCCCGAGTACATATAAGGACGATTAATATTTATTGCACAACTTTTTTTTTTACTTCCTTGTTAAAGAGGAAAACCTTACGCTAAAAATAAAACGACTAGGAGCCCTTGTGCCTGCGTGGGTGGCGCTCGCGCCTTTAAACCTGAAGCCACAGGGGCTCAGCCCCCCACCCGCGCAGGGCGGCTCCTGCGCATGCGTAAACAGAAGGGGTCGGGGCGCGGCCCAAGACGACGCCAAGGGAGCGGACGGGCGGGGAGGAGGTGGCCTCTGCGCAGGCGCAGAGAGGAGCGAGCGACTCCTGCGCAAGCGCAGAGTGAAGGGCCGGGAACAGTGGAGGGTGCGAGGAAGACAATGGGGGAGGACCCTGAGGCGGCCTCTGTGAGCCGACAGGAACACGTGGTCGATCAGAGAGAGACTCGTAAGTGCACGGAGCTGATGAGGTGACTATGGCGTTGCGCAGGCGTCCTGTAGAGGCGGGTTGTCATCGGCGCAGGCGCGGTGTGGAGGAAGCCCCGGCGCCGGCGCAATGAGGAGGCGGCCGGACTCGGCGCTGGCGCAGTGTGGAGGAGGCTCCGGCGCAGGCGCAGACGCAGGGCGGGCAATGGCCGCCTGGGTCTCTCGGGCAGCCCTGCCCACCTCTCTCGCGTCTCCTGGTCTTGGCCTGCGGCTCTCTTTCTGGCAGGTGCCGCGGCGTCTCCTGCGGGCCTGACCGTGTTCTCCCGCCTAGCCAGGCTCTTCTGCGCTCCTTTTTTGTTGAGATTTTTCCATCCCCTGCACAGGAAGTGTCCTTTAATTACTCCAGTGTTTTTTTAGTTACTTTTTAAGAAACATTTTGGACTTTTCGATACAGAATAGTGTCAAAAAAAAAATTTAACCTTCTTCAGGTTATATTTTAGTGAATGATATTAATATATGTTCCAAAGTTGTATGGGATTTCTAAAATTCTAATTTTTCTGAGTATATGCTACCGATCATAATTATGGTTATGTTGTTGTTATAACCAAATTTCTTTGTCAATTGTGTCTTTTTGAGTATTTAAAGTCATTTCCGCAGTTAATTGCTTCATGCTGATGTAGTTTCTGAAAACTTCACAAGCACACAAAAATCCTAGAACATGGTGTCTTTTAGGAGGTTCGTGAACGGATGGGGAGGACCCTGAAAAGCACTGTGGAATACAGGTTTCTAGTAACTTCAAAATCACATCATTTGGACTGGGTAAGAATTGCTGAAACTTTAATGAAAAGACTGACTGGCTTATAAAACTGCTAACCCAAATAGAATAAAAATTAATTGAATACCGAGGAAATGCTTCACCAGGTTTGCATACTTAATCAGCCTATACTGAAATTGTTTAGATATACAATTTGAATGAACTCCATGGTCTAAGTCAAATTACCTGTGATAACCCATCAGTTATCCATGCTATGTGCCCAATTTGGAGAAACAACTGGCACCCAAGAGGACATAAGTCCGATGTTAAGCATGGACTCATGGAGAACCAAGATGGCTGCCTTGTCCTTCGTGAGTCCTTAAAGCTTTTGTTATTAAAAGTTATGCATTCCATGACTCATCCTGGAAAAGATAAAATGATCCAAATTAAATATGTTGGTGTGGTGACTTACAGATTGTTAAAATAGTTTATAAACAATGTTTAGTTTGTCAAACCCATACTCCTGGGAAGTCAATCAAAGCTTCATGTACATTTGGCTACCTGATGAGGCATTTAAACATTTATAAAGGGGTTTCATTCAGTTGTCATTTTCAATGTATGTGTTCTGGTTGTACTAAAGCTTTCCCATGCAGGAGGGCTAATGTTATAACAGTAGATTACTATGTATCAGTGTATTTTCACCAGGTAAAGAGCTTTTTATGGTTCACTGAGGACAATCAACCCCTTCACAATCTAGAACCCAAAGATGGGATCTTCTGAGAACATCAGAGAAACGCTGCCCTTGGCATCATCACTGCAACAAAACATCAGGATCTTGAACCTTGGGGTCATAATCTCACAACTGAGCAGGGTCACTCTTGGAACTCTACATCCATTGAAACCCTTAAGGTAAAGCTAATCAGGGAAGTTTCTCCCCAGAAGAAGATGGCATCCTTGATGTGAGCAGCTCTTTCTGAAGATCATGGATCAAGACTTCTTACTATCATGAGACTCTTATCTTTGAATGTTTTTCCGTTGCTTCCGCCTCTGTGAACAACAGAAGTGAGAAGGGGGTCTGTTTTGTGCACTTATGGGGTATACTTTTATTTGTGAAGGGCTTTGCAGCCAGCTTTATACATGGATAATCTTATAACTTGATAGATAAAGATGAAGGCCCAGTGTATCATAGGTGAGAAACTTCAATGGTACATATGGTGCCTCATAATCATTCAGAAGCAGAACATTGGTTCACTCCTCTTAACCCACAGCATGGGTTAAAGAGACCATTGCCAAGAGGCCTTCCCTCTTCTAGAAGGGCATCATTTGTTAGGTCCTTTTTCCATGGTTTGGAATTAAAAAGGCAATGACTAGAAACATATCCCTCATGGTAGACTCTGTAGCAGATTCTACTGTAAAGGCTACACAACAGATGTTAAATTCTCTTGTGAAAGTTATGCTAAAAAATAGAATTGGCTAAACAGGAAAGTACCTGTGCAGATGCTGGCACTTAAGGCCTATGGAGAAAACATCAGGTGTTATAGAGAGTCTGTTGTAGGGAATTAACGAAAAGACCACTGAGTTAAGTCAAAGAATGGTCTATTTGAGTTTAGGTGGTCTGGTTTATGGGGACCCTGGCTAAGGAGCATACTCCAAATTCTTGGTGTTAACCCTCTCAGTAGTCATAAGAATAGTCTCCCTGGTGCACTGTATTCTCTCAAAGGTTTTAAATGTTTGCATGAAGCCATCTTTAGAACGTCAGATGGTCTCTCTTCAACTGGAATGACAAGAGCTGAAAGAAATGTGTGACCACGAGGACACCGAAACCGATGAGTGACATGCTGAGACTGGAAATCCAAAATGATAGTAACGGAGAGTGGCGCTAACATCCTAAGTTTTGGTCACACTCTTGCCTAAGTGACAACCTGACAAAGGGGGAATTTTTTAAACAAAATGATGGGAGGCCATTGTTTTGGACTGAGCACTAGGTCCCAACAGACCAAACCGAACCAAAATGGCATCATTCGTGCTAAATGTGACATAATCGAATTAAGACTTTAAGGAAACACATGGGTCCTAGAATAGACCAGGTTTTGTTTTTCTCTTGCAAACAGGACTTTCCAGCATAAGGTGGTATCCTCAACTCAGTCCTTGTTCCTACCTTTGCAAAACTCACTGTTCTGCTTCCTAGTGGGTTTCAAGACCAATGGTGACAGTGACATCAATAACTCAAGTTTCGATCAATCTCTCAAAACTGATAAAATGACCAAAAAGGGGGAATTGTTAAAGCGAACTAAATATGGCCTGAGAAGGACTCCGTACTTCTGTATTGGAGTCCCTGTGAACAAACTGAGCCTAACTTAATAGGTAGACAAGATTGAAAACCTAAATTAGGAGTATGTACCTGTCACAATTGCTGAGTCTCGGCCAGTCCCAGCAGCCGTACTTCAATCACTCATACACTGCTGAATGTTCAAACTGTGTGTAAATAAGGCAAATGCCAACCTGTAACTAATCCAGGTGTTTCTCTACCTCACTTCCCTTTTTTTGTCTATAAATCTTCCACCACGTGGCTGCACTGGAGTCTCTCTGAATCTGCTGTAATTCTGGGGGCTGCCCGATGTGCAAATCATTCATTGCTCAATTAAACTCCTTTAAATTTAATTCAGCTGAAGTTTTCTTTTAACAAGAGTGAGATAAGAATCTGTGTTCTTATCCCCCAGAATGGACAAATCAGTAGCGTTCCTTGTCATTCTTTTGTGGCTGGTTTCACGTAAATATTTTGTGTGTATGATAATAGAATTTGATTTTAATGAATATACTTTAAAAGCAACTTTTTTTTTATTCTTCCTCACCATCGAAGATGGAGAAAAATAAGAAGGGCTGTCTTGCGGTTCCATTTCTTTTGTGGATAGTAAGAAGCGCTGTCTTCTGGTTCCGTTTTTTTTTTCTGGATAGTAAGGATGTTTATCTTACTCTGTCTTCATTGTCCTCAAACCTCAAGTAGTCACTAATACCCTGGCTATGACAGCTTTTATCGTAGTGTTAAATGGCAGATTTATTTACTTGGCAAACATTGTCAAGTCTCAGAAAAATTACCCCATGGTCTTGCCTTCTTCCCTCGTGAATTGCCTTCCACTGATGGAGAGGATTTGATCTGTTCCCTGCTCATCAATTTTTCTAGCTTCTTTGGG
The DNA here is from genome assembly GCF_000001405.40 of Homo sapiens. Classification (NCBI taxonomy): domain Eukaryota; kingdom Metazoa; phylum Chordata; class Mammalia; order Primates; family Hominidae; genus Homo; species Homo sapiens. The sequence continues at coordinate 137,726 of NT_187653.1, read as the reverse complement.
ATGTCCGCTCTGCATATCTACTAAGGAATTAAGAAATAATGGCTTCAGCAAGAAACAAGGCAGGAAAGTGCAGTGACATGAGGACCATACAGGGAAGGAGCTGTCCCCAAAGGTGAGAATGGCCCTGGACAAGGGTTCTTGCTGTGACTTCACTCAGACCAGACCACCTTGACCTTTTCATCACCGTGCCTCAGCGAAGTCAGTCGTTGATTCTCTGATCGGTTACTGAGATCATCATGAAATCTCCCTCGTACGAGAGTTGCAGAACTCTGCAGTGTCAATCATAGTGTTTGGGAGAGAGGACTTTCTACCTCCATCCTTTTTCTGAACCTAAATGGAATGAAAATTAGAACTGTTGCTTATTCTTTGAGGTAATTTCAAATTCCCTTATCCAAACCAGTGTTACAAAAGGACTCCAGTTTGCCCCCCAAATCGGTCTATTAAGAATGTAATGATGAATTTTCATCCAAATCCCACAATATGAGCTTTTCTAAAATAACTCTAGAAACAAATATGACAATATTCCAAAATTCCTGCCCTCAGACCTTATTTTGTATTAGAGTTATCTGTGTATCCATTTTGTATCCCCTGAAGCACGATGAGCCACTTGAGGCCAGGTACAGCCATGGCGTGTATCCCAGAGCACCTGTGAGAATGTCTCACAGACAGTCCGTCTCTCCTGAATATGAAGGGATGGGCACCAGCCGGAGCCACCATCCGTGTGACTGGCCCGTGGCCGCCTCCAGCTCACACAGAACCTCTGCACGCAACGGAAAAAGGTCTCCCCTGGGTGAATGGGGTGGGAAACGTGTGCCCCTCCAGGCGGCTGGTGAGCAGAGTGCTCCCCTCGGCAGGGTGTGACTTGTACAGCTCCACCACGGGCCCTGTAACAAGACAGGCTTCGACCCTGCCCTCTTGCAGCTCGTATGTATGAGGGGCAGCCCAATAAATAAATAAGCAAATCCATGCTGTCATTTCAGGTATTAGCTAGAGCTTTGGAGGAAAAGCAGGCTGAGGGGAGGGAATGACGGGCAGGAGCAACGCAGGCAGCAGGCCAGGGAGGGGCCGAGTCGGGGCCTGGGTAACAGGCAGTGCCATGTATAAAACGTTAAAAAGTGTGAAAACCAGTTTTACATACTGGGTAGTTAATATTTCCATCTTCCCCCCATTTTGGTTTCAGTTCATTCTAGGTTTCTTTTCATTTCCTGTATTTCTTCGACACTATAGTTTTGTGCTGGGTCAGGCCAGCCCAGGGTGAGTCCCACTGATGGCTGCTTTGGGTGAAGATTGAAGCCTCCCCTCCAGGGGCTGCAGCGCCAGTCTCTGTGTGTGGCCTGGTCACAGCACTCAGGCGTCTCCGACCAGCAAGAGTGTCTCGGGGACACTGGTTCTCCCCTCAGGCCTCCGACTTGCAGGGCCTGCCTGGGGGTGGCCAAGGGGATGCTTGTGTGTCCACACACAGTGTGAACACAGCATCTGAGGGCGCCCCAGTTTCCTCTGCAGACTTCAGGAGAAGATTCTCTAAGCAAAGTTCACAAAGAAGCAATAGGACTGAGGCAGGGTAGGGGAAATAGGTTGATACCAAAATACAGGGAGAAGTGCCCTAATGTGTGCTGAGGGTGCTTTGGAAAGATTTCAGGTGACTCAGCCGGGGTCAGGCATCTTGTGAAGACAGGAGAACTGCGGGCCTTTCTGCAGCGTGGACAGCAGGTTCCCTCTCCTGGGCGTTCCCTTGCCTTCGGATTTGGGGGGTTTCCCCTGGCAGGGCTGGGACCCCCTGCAGACAACGGGGACCTTCCAAAGTCTGGGAAAAGAAACCAGACCAGGTACTGGGACGCAGGTCACCAGGAGCCGGCAGCGTGGGGCCCAATAGTGAGGCCCTTCCTGGGCCTGTGGCCTCCTCAGTACTGTGAGGCTGCCAGGCTGAGAGTTTCTTTCCAATCTGAAGTCCTCCACTAGACAACTGAGGAGAACCTGCATCTGTGCGGGTCTCCTGGTCTCCTTGGGTGTGATGAGGGCAGAGACCCCCCTACAGGCCACAGAGGAGTCCACTAAGGCTCACCCAGGCCTGCTGCTCCAAGGACCCACCCAGTCCCTAGGATTTGTGCTTGAAGCCGCCACTGCCCTCACGTGCGTCCTGCCCACGCTATGCTCACACGTGTCACACGCCTGGCCTTCCACGCACGAGTGCTCCCACATGCTGAGAATTAGCCTGTTCTGTGAAGGGCCACCCGTTCTCGTCCGTCCTCCTGCGGTCGGACACTTGATGTAATCAGGGTTTGGAGACGTTATCAATAAGGCTGATAGACATTCTTTTACAGACACGATTTTTATTTCTCTTGGGTAAACACCCGGGAGTGTGGTCGCTGGGCAGTCGGGAGAGTGGCTGTTCCGTTTTGCACTCCCAGCAGTAGGGAACGAGAGTTCTAGTCACTGTGCGTCCTTCCCAACGTGCAGTTGCCAGCCTGTCTCTTTCTAAAGGCATATTGCTAGTGGGTATGAAATATACCGAATTTCTTTTTATTTTAAGCTCAATTCCTTTACGTGTTTTCTTCCTAGTCCCCAGAGTGGCTTCTGTCCCCGAACATAGGTATGAATGGTGCTGAGCACTGGACCACAGGGTGAGCTCCGGTGGGAGGGTTTTGGCAGGCCATGGAGATGAGTACTTGAATTAGGCCCAGATTGCAGAGTCAGGAATTGCTGGGTACAGCCTGTCTGCATTTTGTTTTGGCTTCAAACTTTACAACATTCATTTTAAGTTCTGAGGCCTTAGGTCCTAAGAAAATGTATTATCTGGAACAAATGCAATTGCCAAAGTCTACAATGACTTTGCTTTGTGCCAGACCTCCTGGAATATGCCCATTCCTGGTTCACAGATGTCTGTCAGGCCTGCCCAGGGACCAGGTCCCATGCTGTGGACTCTGACCCCATGCACGGAGCAGTGGAGGCTGCCTGCTCGGCCTGGCTGGCGTCTGCCCCAGAACCGTATCAGACGCCTGCTGTACATGCAAACACAGCGCCCTTGGCTCTTGGCAGGCCAGTCTCCGCTAATCACAGACAAACCTCTAGTCCAGATTGAGGAACATGTGGTACCACTCTCATCTTCCACACCCAGCACAGACCTCAGTGACTGATTGCGGCTGGTGCTGCTGTGAGCATGGACGCAAGCTCTGCTTCCAACAGCAAACTTCAGAAACCCACTTCCAACAGGGAAGGCTCGCCCCCGACAGGAACACAACCTCAGAAACCCACTTCCAATGGGGAAGGCTCACCCCCAACAGGAAGACAACCTCAGAAACCCACGTCCAATGGGGAAGGCTCATCCCCGACAGGAACACAATCTCAGAAACACACTTCCAATGGGGAAGGCTCGCCCCCGACAGGAACACAACCTCAGAAACCCACTTCCAACGGGGAAGGCTCACCCCCGACAGGAAGACAACCTCAGAAACCCATATGTCCAATAGGGAAGGCTCATCCCCGACAGGAACACAACCTCGGAAACCCACCTCCAACGGGGAAGGCTCACCCCCGACAGGAACACAACCTCAGAAACCCACTTCCAACATGGAAGGCTCACCCCCAACGGGAACACAACTTCAGAAACCCACTTCCAACATGGAAGGCTCACCCCCGACAGGAACACAACCTCAGAAACCCACTTCCAACATGGAAGGCTCACCCCCAACGGGAACACAACTTCAGAAACCCACTTCCAACATGGAAGGCTGACCCCCAATGGGAACACAACCTCAGAAACCCACGTCCAACAGGGAAGGCTCGCCCCCGACAGGAACACATTTCTATCTCCAGGCTGATGAATACTGAGACAAAATGCAGCACAGTCCTCCACACGTCCCTTTTGCTTTGGAGGTGGTGGAGTGACGCCCTTGATAACCAGCCTGTGCTGCCTGAGTGGCCCTTTGAGTTCGGGTCACAGTGTCAGGCACCAGCTCCTTCCACTCAGCTGTGCAGACTTGCAGTGGGTGCGTCTGTGACAAGCATTCTGCCCACCACCTGAAATTGATCAAGTCTTTCCTGCATATTCCAAGTCTTTTCTCTGTTGATGGAAAAACCAAACTCTGTAAAATATTTTAAAGAGGTTTCTTCTGAGCCAGTGAGTGACACAGCCAGACAGACACGGTCCCAGCGAGTCCTGAGAACGTGTGCCTGAGGAGATCGGATTGCAGTTTGGTTTTGACATCTCAGGGAGGCAGGAGTTATAGGCAAAGACATACAGCCATGCATGGCAGGTCCACACTGGCTCGGCCTTTGGAGGTGGGACACCTTGAAGGGGGCTTACAGGATATAGATGGATCCAGAGATTCTTTGAGTTCCTGTTGGTGAGAGGAGCAAGGCTCTGTCTAAAACTTGGAACGTTTAAGTTAAGATCCTGCTACAGGATCTGTAGCCTACAGGTGCAGCCTCAGGTCCTGCTCAGCCTGCAGGTGGGACCCACCCCTGCCTTGTGCGGCCTCGGGTCCTGTTATAATTCGGTATCCTATTGCCACCAAGAGTCTGCTTTGTCAGTCTTAAGATCTCCGTTTTAACATTACTGCTGGTCAGTTGTGTCTAAACTCCCAAAGGGAGGGAGTATGACGAGGCATGTCTGACCCCCTTCCTGTCAGGGCCTGGAACTCAGCTTTTCAGGTTTCTCTGGGTCCCCTTGACCGAGAAGGGTCATTCAGTCAGTGGAGGGGGGGATTCAGGGTTATGCTTTTAGTTCACACCTCCAAAACAGGAGGCTACCTTTTAAAATGAAGTAATCACCAGTGACGTGAAAATCAGAGTTGACTTGAGAACCAGATGATGGGTGCTTCCAAAAGGCTCAGACCTTGGCCCCCAACCTGCCTCCCATGCTCAGCACTCAAAGACCTTGGCCCCCCCACCTGCTTCCCATGCTCAGCACTCAAAGACCTTGGCCCCCCACCTGCCTCCCATGCTCAGCACTCAAAGACCTTGGCCCCCCACCTGCCTCCCATGCTCAGCACTCAAAGACCTTGGCCCCCCACCTGCTTCCCATGCTCAGCACCCAAAGACCTTGGCCCCCCACCTGCCTCCCATGCTCAGCACTCAAAGACCTTGGCCCCCCACCTGCCTCCCATGCTCAGCACTCAAAGACCTTGGCCCCCCACCTGCCTCCCATGCTCAGCACTCAAAGAGAAGGAGGGCAGGAGGAGCCTGGCCACTCCTGAGCAGCCTGGGAGGCCTTTCTCTAGGAGATGGCCAGGCGTGCACGGTGGGGTGTGGGGGCACCTGCGAGGAGACCCGTGCAGGCCATGCCTGAGACGTGCGGAGGGATGGGGACAGGGCTGCCTGTCAGCCCACCAGGCTGCCAGAGCACCAGGGTTTGTCAAGGGCTTTCTGCCTTCCCTGGGGCTGGACACTCCCTCCAGGCTGCAGCTGAGTCGGGGGCACAGCCACAGTGAGTGCTCAGAATCCCCCTCCTCATGGACAGTGCTGGGCGCTCAGTCTCCTGCAGGAGTGCCCCAGCCTGAACTCATGCAGCAGGGCTGTCCATCAGATTCACCTGACCCCTAGTCATGCCCGAATCCCTGCAGGATGGAGGACCTGTGGGAGACTTCGCTCCAGCTGCAGTAAGTCAAGGTCAGCTAGGGCCACGAGGGCCCCACCGGCCAGTGTCCTGGCCGAGGCTCCCAGACACCAAGGCCGCCCAGGCCTCCAGAGCAGCAGCCAACTGCCCCTCATTCCCCGGCCTCACTCACAAATAGCCTTCACCCAGACAGCCTTCGCCCTGTGCACCGCGGCTGGGGCTGGAGGGGAGGCAATGGCCGTCTCCCGTGTGTGCACTGGACGCCCGGAATCTCAACAGCACTCACACTGGAACTTGAAGGTGCCCCGGGGAAACCCACGGAAGCACAGTGGTGCCTCTGGCTGCCTGGAGCCTACCCCAGTTCCTCCCTGGCAGTGAGAGAAAGCTGCAATCACCCATCAGCAGGCTTTATTACAGAAAAGGAAACGCAAATTGGGCCTCCGCTCCTGCTGGGAAGCATGGGAACATAAGGTGGGAGGAAGATGGAAGGGGGAACAAAGAGAAACACTGCAGACCGGCTGCAACCAGAGGCTGCAGGTGCAGGGCTGAAACTGAATCATCGCCATGCCAGCAGGAGTGGCCTGCCTGGAGTAACCCACCCTTCCAGGGAGCACAGGCTGGGTGCCCTCCCCAGGGCCCAGGCAGGCCCCTCCTCTGGGTCTTGGGGCCCCGGTAAGAGCAGGAGTTGGAGAGGGTGGGCTCCTCGCCTCCACTTTCTCTGTCCTGTTAGAATTCTAAAGGGCGGGGCATTTTCTGTGTTAGGGAATGCTCCAGAAGACTTATGTGACCTCAACTTCAGCTAAATTTCTAATAGGAAAAGTTGGTAAGCTAAACAAAACCCTAAGCCCCCTAAACAACTGAAAGGGGCCCCAGAGAAACCTGAAAAGCTGAGTTCCCAGCCTCGATGGGAAGGGAGGCCCGCCACGCTTCATTATACTCCTTCCCTTTTGCAGCTTAGATGCAACCACGGACCAGCATTAGAGGTCATGGAGATCTTAGGACTGACAGACAGACTCTTTGTGGCAATAAGATACCAAATTATAAACAGGACCCATGCAGGCAAGGGTAAAGTCACACCTGCAGGTCATCATCTTGCTACACAGCTTCCAAATTTTAGACAGAACCTTCCTCCTCCAACCAAATGCAAATTAAAGAATCTCTGAATCCACCGATGTCCTGTAAGCCCCAGCTCTGAGATGTCCCTCCCTTTCAGGTCAAACCAATGCCGACCTTCTGTGCACGGCTGTATGTCTTTGCCTGTAACTCCTGCCTCCCTGAAATGTTAAAACCAAACTGCGGCCGGGCGCGGTGACTCACGCCTGTAATCCCAGCACTTTGGGAGGCCGAGGCAGGTGGATCACCAGGTCAAGAGATCGAGACCATCCTGGCCAACACGGTGAAACCCTGTCTCTACTAAAAATACAAAAATTAGCCGGGCGTGGTGGCGGGCACCTGTAGTCCCAGCTACTCGGGAGACTGAGGCAGGAGAATCTCTTGAACCCGGGAGGCGGAGGTTGCAGTGAGCCGAGATCGCGCCACTGCACTCCAGCCTGGTGACACAGCGAGACTCCATCTCAAAAAATTAAAAAAAAACTGCAACCCGACCTCAGGTCCTTTCTCAGGACTCCTTGGAGCCTGTCTCCCAGGCTGTGGTTGCCCCTGTTGGCTCAGAAATAACCTCTTTAAAATATTCTACGGAGTCTGGTTTTTCCATCAGCAAGTTTAACTCTAAAGTGGACATTGTTTTCCTTTCATAAAGGGCTGGGGCTTCCCAGATGATAATGAAAAAATTAAATTTAAATGTTATTTAAAATACATTTCTTCTTTCATTATGAAAGTAACAAATGGAAGAACATGTTTCCAAAGCCATCATGGTTTGTTAATTTTTAAAACCAATGAAGATAGGTTAAAAAAGTGAGCAAACATATTTTACATATATTTTTAACTTGAAAACTTATACATATTTACTCATTAATTTCTATAGTAAACTTATTGAGGTATAATTTTCATACAATTGAGAAAAGGAAAGAAATTGTGCTGAGGGATGATGCAAGTCCTTTTAAACGATCAGGCCCAGAGAGGCAGTCAAGTGAGGCGGCAGTGACTTCCCACTCCCCGCCTTGGAGCTGTGTATTCGTCTCTTGAAACGCTGGCTGTTGCCTCAGGTTAACCTCCTAGTGCAGCAGCAGACACTGCAACTCACACCCTACGGCTTAACAATATAGAGCCAAGCAATAGATTATGTTACTTTAACATAAATCCTTGGTCAACAACTTGGAACAGCCTCTTCTTTCCCTTGAAAAACCCACCTGTAACAGCTGCTAATAGGAGGTGTATTCAGGGCAACTTGAATCTACGCTTCCGGGCAGCAGTCCTCAAGCTTCGCCCAAACTCCCTCCTTACATGAATTTTGCCTCAGGTCTTGCCTTTGAGTCCAATTCAATGTGATGTTCAGTTTTCAGTCATACAAGTTGACAAGTTGTGACCAATGTAAGCCATGCATCCACCGTCCTGGTCAAGATGCATGAGGCTTCTGTGACTCCAGAGAGGCCCTCCCACCCCTTCCTAGCCAACGCCCCAGTCTTGGACCTCCAACCCTCCCTCTGGTCGTCATCACCATCTGGCCACTTCTCCATTCATGAATATTCCCACCCCTTCCTAGCCAACGCCCCAGTCCCAGGCCTCCAACCCTCCCTCTGGTCGTCATCACCATCTGGCCACTTCTGGCTCCATTCATGAATCTAGATATTTCCATATAGGGACAAGCTTGTATTTAGCATTGGTCTGCTGATTGAAGTTCTTCTTCTTCTTTAGTGTAAACCCCAGGCTTAACTCTCCTTCCTAGCCACCCAATTTCATATTTTTTAAAGTGGACCAAGAAGTTGGGCACATTTTAAGACAATCTAAGACCAGAATTTCTCCAAACGTTCACCAATTAGTTTTCATTTTTAAGAGTCATCTTGTCTATACCTAATTCAAAAGCAATTTTTAAAGCAGCCTCAAGTTACCTTGACCTTGTTTTCCCAAATCACTTATCTAGGTTTATGTAGAAACAACTTTCTGTCATTTTGCACTGATATGTAATAGGTTACATAATGTTGAATTAAGTTTCATGGTGTTACTGGAACAGGGTCTCAATCCAGACCCCAAGAAGGGGATCTTAAACCTCGTGCAAGAAAGAATTCGGGGCTAGTCCATAAAGTGAAAGCAAGTTTGTTAAGAAAGTAAAGGAATGAAAGAATGGCTACTCTGTAGGAAAAGCAGTGATGTCCGCTGCTCAACTGAATATACTTATGGTTATTTCTTGATGATATGCTAAACAAGGGGTGGATCATTCAAGATTTTGCTGGGAAAGGGGTGGGCAATTCCTGTAACTGAGGGTTCCTCCCCTTTTTAGACCACATGGGGTAGCTTCCTGACATTGCCATGGCATCTGTAAACTGTCATGCACTGGTGGGAGTGTCTCTTAGCATGCTAGTGCATTATAATTAGTGTATAGCGAGGAGTGAGGGTGACCAGAGGTCACTTTCGTTGCCGTCTTGGTTTCAGCCAGCTTCGTTACCATATTCTGTTTTATCAGCAGGGTCTTTGTGACTTGTACCTTGTGCGGACCTCCTACTCATCCTGTGACTAAGAACACTGAACTTCCTGGGGTTACAGCCCACAGGTCTCAGCCTCATTTCATCCAGCCCCTATTCAAGATGGAGTCGCTCTGGTTCAAATGCCTCTGACACTAGTAAGGATCACAGGTGGCATCAACAGGTTTGGAGCAAACCTGAGTGTCTCCCGGTTGGTCACATCTCAACTGACGAAATCCACGACCAGCAGAGAGCAGCCTCCTTGCCCCCTGTGCTCACTGAGTCATCCAGCCCATTTTGACCAAGATTATGTGAGTTGCTGGAGCAGAGGTTGGTTGAGGGAGCTCCCACTGTATGTAATCACCGTGTCTTGCACAAAATAAATAGAAAACACAAGAATACACTCTTATGCATGATCCTACAGCCCAGAGGCATCCACTTCCTACATTTTGCATATCGTTTTCCAGTGTCTAACAAATACTTTAATGTACTTACAGTCAACATCATTGCAGGGCTAGAGGGAACCATAATCTACAAAACTGTCCTCAATTCTTCACCAGTTACAAGGGTAGGGGTCTCCAAGACCACCCTCAGTTTTGATAATTCGCTAGAAAAACTCACTGAAAGCTGATATACTCATGGTCATGACTTAGCACAAGGGTAGGACACAGATGACTATCAACCCAGGGAAAGGCGCTCAGGCCGGAGTCCAGGAAGTTCCCACCTGCAGAGGGTCCTTCCCCACAGAGCTGTGGGCAGTGTCACTTGGGGCATCCAGGTGGGATCCCCCGAGCTTAGTGTCCCAGAGCCTTTGCTGGGGCCCCATGGTTGACTGCCCATGCGGATGGAGGTCTCCAGCTCACTCGAGGGTGAGCTCATCGCAACCCCTACCTGAATCACACTTTAGGCCTCCTGGTGTGGTCCAAAGGCCCAGGCAAACCAAGACCGTCCCATGTGGCTTAGAGACCACCTCTCAGAAGCTGGGGGAAGAGGCCAGGTCTCTCTGGGCAAGGTTCAATTCTTTATTACACCGTCATATATAAAGGATTTATTTTTCTTTCCAAAAGTTGGATTGCACTACACGCTTTGCTTTGCAATCTGCTCTCAGGCTCGTGGCATGACCGTGTGCCACACGCCGCTTTGTTCACTGAGGCGGACTCAGAATTCCTGTCATCGTCCTCTGCTGCTCACCTGGCCGTCCTCGGCACCTGGGTGGGAATGGAATTTGAACACTGGCGTGATTGTGGGTTGGTATCTCAGTCTGGGGTTCTAGAAGCAAACCCAAGACGAGGATTTGTGTGGAAGCAGTATAAATAAATGATGTGTTCCCTGGAAGACCCCTTTGTGGGAATGGGGGGTGGTACTGGGTGGGGAGGAGGCCGCACGCTGTGGGGGTCACTCCGGCTCCATCTCATGGAGGAACTGGGAGGCTGCTTGTCACTGCTCACAGGTGTGCCCTTTGGTTTGGGGGGTGCTCAGGTGCTCTATGTCTTATCTGTCATTCACTGTCTGAGGGTTATAAATTCCCAGACAGCGTAGCCCTCCAGGAGCTCAGCGAACCCCAGGGAAGAGGTTCCTGTGGCCAGAGGGCAGCCCCTGCAAGATTCAGAAGCCGGATGCTGGGACTGAGAGACCTGGGGCTCGGGGGCCTGCAAGATTCAGAAGCCGGATGCTGGGACTGAGAGACCTGGGGCTCGGGGGCATAAAAATGGTCAGTGGATACAGAGAAATGTGGGCAGAGTCCTCACGGCATCTGCTACGAATAAAGTCTGAAGGCGCCACAGCACTCAGAAGGGCCGGGTGTGATTCTCTCCTGGGTAAGTGTGTGCTCTCGGTGGGGTCAGCTGACGGAGACTGGGACAGAAGCTTAGTGGCCGCTCACCACTGTTTCGTCCCAGCCGCGTTCACCTGGGTGTCAGCTCCAGCAACCTGGGCAAGGATGGGGGAAGAGCATTCTGTCCCGTGGGTGCCGCATATGCTCAGGCCATCAGCTCTACCCCAGTGGGTGCAGGCTCCCTCCTCTGCACTGAGCACCTCGCCCCGTCGTCCTGAGCCCTCCATCGTCTCCACTTTGGGCAAAGGCCAGGGGCTGCTTGGCAGGGTCTTGAGCAATGGAAAGGGACCAGCAGGCTGATCGCTTTCCCTCCTCCCTACCTTAGAACAACTCAAGGTGCAGGGGCCCCGACGGCCTCCCTGAGACACCCTCATGAGCCATCATCGGCTGTTTTCTTTGTGATCTGTGGTAGCTCAAAATAAATACATAAATAAATAACACATAAACAGAGCATCACTCTGAATTTGTCCCGTTTCTTCCCTATCTCCGTGCCTAACCCCACTCCTGCTTCCCTGGGCTTGCGGACCACCCCCCACCCCCACCCCCACCCTCACCCCCACCCCTAACCCCCGACCCCCACCCTCACCCCCACCCCTAACCCCCGACCCCCACCCTCACCCCCACCCCTAACCCCCGACCCCCACCCGTTGTGCAGATCTGGCTTCTGGACTTCCTTCTGCTGTCCAGCCCACCACTGCCCAGCTCCTCAAGAAAAAGGGCTCCAGGTCTGAATCCTTCCCTCGGGGGCGGGATGTGTGGCTGGACCTGAGGTCAGAAGCGCGGCTGAGGCTGCAGACGTGTGCACAGAGTAAATGTGTTGAAATACTTTACTGCACGTGTTCCCTTTATACTCTCTTTTCACACTGATTTCAGGCCTGCAGTCTTTGTGCATCTTTGCTTACAGGATTTTGCCGTATTGTAAATCAGAATGACCCTGAAGTTTAAGCTAAGCCAGACTCTTATGGAAGAAAAAGCTAGGTGTCAGAGGTGGTGGGGGTGGGGGATGCGGGGAGAGGGCTTTTGGGAAGCGCTGGTCTAAAAATCTTTCCAGACACAACCATTTCTTACCTCCACCATCACCACTCTGATGGAGCCACTGTCACCTGTGACTTCTGTACCTGTTTTGTATGGCTGCCATGCCCCTCCCACCCACCTCCAGTCTACAGACAGAAAGGCACGTGGATAGATAGACAGAAGGATAGATAGATAGACAGAGACACATAGATAGATGATAGATAGATAGATAGATAGATAGATAGATAGATAGATAGATATGATAGATGATAGAGACAGATAGATGATAGATAGATGGATGATAGATGATAGAGGATAGGTGATAGATGATAGATAGATAGATGATAGATAGCGACAGATAGATAGATGATAGAGACAGATAGAGACAGATAGATGATAGATAGATAGAGACAGATAGATAGATGATAGATAGATAGATGATAGATGATAGAGACAGAGACAGATAGATGATAGATGATAGGTAGATAGGTTAGATAGATAGATAGGTGATAGATGATAGGTAGATAGGTAGATAGATAGATGATAGATGATAGATGATAGATAGATGATAGATGGATAGATAGACAGAAAGATGATGATATAGCTCTCCTTCTCCCGCTTTCTGTTCTGAGGTAGCAGGCCACACTCAGGAATGCTGGAATGTGGGTGTTTGGTGAAAGTGCTCTGTGAATGAACAATATACATGAGCTGTATCTATATCCAGTCTAGTCTCAACACAGCAGCCAGAGGTTTCTTCCAAAAATACATGTCAGCTCAGACCCCTCTCAGCTCCCGTCTCTCCAGCAGGTCCCCATCCAGCTAGGTCAGGAAAAGCCACCTTCACGATGGCTATGGAGGCCCCCAAGGATGTCCCGCACTCACCCCCAGAAGCTTGAGTGTGATGAGAGGCCGCCCTGAGGCACATTGTTCTCTGGACAGTTGGCCTTAAACGAGGGAGGTTATCCTGGTTTCTGGGGGAGCCCTGACAGCAGAGAGCGTCCTCTGGATGCAGGCGGAAGAGGGTGGCAGAGAGGACTCGGCGTGAGGAGGACTCAGGGTGCCCTTGCTGGCTTTGAGAAGGCGGATGCAGCCAGCCTTGAGCTGACAGCCCACAGGGGAGTGGGGCCTCTGTCCCTCAGCCACAGGGAGAAGTCCTCTAGCCCCCAGTGAGCCTGAAGCATGTTCTTTCCTCGAGCCCCAGACAAGAGCACGGCCCACTGGCACCTTGACTTTGGCCTATGAGAGCAGAGTACCCCGCTGAGCCAACCCTCTCCGACTGTGATAATACATGGGTGTTGTTCAAGCTGCCACATTGTCCGGGGGCTGTAAGAAATGAATACTGTGGTCTGCAAGTCCCCCTGACAGTCTCCCACCCTCCTCCCTGGTCCCTCAGACACCCTTGTTCCTCCCGTCAGAACCACAGGCCTCATACTCCCTCTGCCAGAGGCCCTTCCCCAAAACAGAGGAGCGAGTGGAGCAGACAGCTGCCGGCTGGGTGTGTTCCAAGCCTCGGCGGATGCTTCAGAATAGAAGCGCCCACGCCGCTTTGCAAAGTGTAAGTGACCGCGTGGCTCACAAACAAGCCTGTTTTCTGTGAGTCCTGGCCCTTCCTGGAAATGGTGGGGAGGGTGGCTTGGTGAGCTGCCCACATGGTGTGTGCAGGAGGTGAGCTGATCACTGGGCCACAGGTGGCTGACGGGGGGCAGCCATTGAGTGGGACAGGAGTAGGTGACCAGCAACTGCAATAGTCAGGAGTGTTTGGCGAGGGCCTTCCTTTGGCTGAGAAAGGAGGCAGATGCTGAGTGTTCAGCAGTTTGGGAGCAAGGAGAGTCCCTTCTCCTCCTCCCCTCCCCTCCCTTTCCCTCCTGGGCCATGCAGTAGGACTGTGAACAGCATAGGAAATGCACACAGAGGAGCTCAGGACGCCCAGGAGGACCTCGAGGAGTACCCAAGCAGAGGAAGCTTGCACCCTGAGTCTGCAGTCGGCTGGGGTGGGGCCCCTGCACTGGAAGGAAGGCTGGGCCCCCGACCCAGTGGTGGCTTCAGGGCCTGGTGAGGGTCACTTTCAGGCTGCTTAGACCTGCAGCCTCCCCAGGTGGTGTGCTCAGGCAGTGCCTCTGGGCCGGCACAAACGGGAAGGTGCTGAGGCCGCGTCTACCTGTGGCTTTAAACACTGGCTTCCACCTGCTGGCCTCCGCGTCCCTCCAGCCGGCCGCCTGGAGCTCATTTTGTGAAGCTGGTTGTGTGTGAATTAGGTGATTCCCACTGTGAACAGTGGAACTCTTGCACATTCCTTGTGTAATTTTGTCCTTAGCATTGTGTTCACCTCGTGCGCCAGCTGCAGACCCTCTCAGGACCGCCCCAGAAATGCTGGCAGCTGGTGAGTGAGCATCTTCAGGCAGCTGTGAGCTGTGTGAGATGATTTTACCAATGCCAGCCTCATATCCACGCTCTGAGCATGTCTGAGGTGAGAGGGCTCAGCTATGATGCCCGGAAGATGAGGTGCATTAAATGCATTTTGACCTGGGGTATTTTTTTTCTATTATTATACTTTTAAGTTCTAGGGTACATGTGCACAACGTGCAGGTTTGTTACATATGTATACATGTGCCATGTTGGTGTGCTGCACCCGTTAACTCATCATTTACATTAGGTATATCTCCTAATGCTATCCCTCCCCTCTCCCCACCCCACAACAGGCCCTGGTGTATGATGTTCCCCTTCCTGTGTCCAAGTGTTCTCATTGTTCAGTTCCCACCTATGAGTGAGAACATGCGGTGTTTGGTTTTCTGTCCTTGCGATAGTTTGCTCAGAATGATGGTTTCCAGCTTCATCCATGTCCCTGGGGTATATTAAACTTACGATGGGTTGTCAGGATGTGGCCCCACCAGTCCAGGAGCATCTGGGCTACGATTATTTATTTTGTTCCTAGAATTTCTCCAGCTTGGGCATTGGGAGCTCTTGCAGACCCCGTCGACATTCACTCCCTGAAGCCTCCAAAGCCACCGCCCTTCCCTGACATCTTGTGCAAGGCAGGAGGTGTGCGGCCAGTTTCCACAAGGAACAGGGTCTCCTCCAGGCTGTTGGTCCCTGGAGAAGTAACTTTTGCAACTTTTGTAACTTTTCTGTAAGCCTAAAATTATCTCAAAATACACAGTTAAAAAATGAGTCAAGTGATGTCACCCTGGAATCTGCAGACGAACACTAATGATAGCAGCAACAATAATAACAATGGCCTTTGTTGAGTGTGGCAGGCAGTGTGCTGGCACCTCCTGTGCGTTTTCTCATCAAATCCTCCTTAGGAACCCAGGGTCTTCCCATCAGCATCCTGACCTTGTGCATGAGGCAGCGGAGCCTGGGAGTGCGGCGGGGCAGCCGGGGAAGCGGAGGCGTTCCAGGGACGCCCATCTCCGCCGCTGGCTGGCAGCCTTCGCTCTGTTAGCTCAATGTTTGCCTTAATGCACCCTTTAGAATCGCACTCCATCCTTGGAGCCTTCAGCAGCTGATAAAAAAAGAACCCTTCTGTGTACACATTGGCAACTCTACCACCCTATTCCCAGTGGAGCTCCGGGAGCTGAAAATAACCGCGTGCTTTCTGTTTCGTGCAGAAAAGAGGACGTGTGCACTTTATTTCATAACACTTGCCATTTTTGAAACTCTGATTTTTCCCACATGTATTTTTTAAATGTCCTTGGAGGAAAAGACACACTGCGGATTTTGCCAGCTTCCTCTTTTTTTGTAATCCAGCCCAGGTCTATGGGCAGGTCCAGATCTTCAGGGAAGAACTCCTGGCCACCAGATGTGAAGAACGACGGGAAAGAAAGCCTTGAGCCAACACAGATGGCCATGGGGTGGACTTGCCAAGAAGTGCCAGGAGACAGCTCCCTGGGGGTCCGAGGCCGAGGGCCATAGGAGGAATGCCATCCTCAAGGGCCCCTGTCCCTTGCAACCCAGGCCAGGGAGGAGCAGTGGCCTGCCAGGGTCTCTGCATGGCCTGTTTCCTGTGCAAGGAAAGACCACTGGCTAAGACAATCCAGGGCTCTGTGTCCTGAGACAGGAGCAAGGGTGGTCGTCCAGGGCTCTGTGTCCTGAGACAGGAGCAAGGGTGGTCGTCCAGGGCTCTGTGTCCTGAGACAGGAGCAAGGGTGGTCGTCCAGGGCTCTGTGTCCTGAGACAGGAGCAAGGGTGGTCGTCCATGGCTCTGTGTCCTGAGACAGGAGCAAGGGTGGTCGTCCATGGCTCTGTGTCCTGAGACAGGAGCAAGGGTGGTCGTCCAGGGCTCTGTGTCCTGAGACAGGAGCAAGGGTGGTCGTCCAGGGCTCTGTGTCCTGAGACAGGAGCAAGGGTGGTCGTCCAGGGCTCTGCCTTCCCTGAGCTTTCAGCACTGTCCTCACCCCGGCCAAGCACGGCCAACGGAGGGAGGTGTTTGTGTCAGGCTTCCATCTGCATGATGCTCACTTGCTCCCTTTTAACTGAGTTGAGCCCCACGGAGATGCATTTTGGGGAATTTCCAGTGAGCACAGAGCAGGTGGGTCATGGGAGGGTCAGGGCTGAGCACGGCATCAGAGGACGACCCTGCCCTCCGAGGAACACCCTCCTCCGAGGCCACCGGCAGGTTTTCCGGGTCAGCTCTCTCCCGAGGCTGCCAGGCTGTGCCCTTTCCCATCTTGCTGCACTCACCCTGGACCAAGGATCCCAGATGCTTGGCTGTGAGTGAAATTCCTAGGATTCAGGGCCAGGCTAGAAGGGCAGTGGGAGTGGTGTCTGTGGCTGGAAAAGACCCATGCCTGCCTCCCACAAGGCCACACAGCCAGGAGGTTAGGCAGAGAGGTGGGACGTGCCCTTCGACCCCAGTGAATCTGCGCAGTGCTGGAAATACAGCTTGGACTGCACAAACGTACACAGTTGGTCAGCCCTAGTCCTCCCAAATGGGACTGAGAGGAGACCCTCCCAACACCTGCTGTTACATCGAGGGGAGCCTCTTGCCTTGTGCAGTCACTAGGACTAGGCTGGTCTCATCTCCTTCAGTGATGCACCCAGCGGGTCGCACTGCAATACGACAGGAAGAGGAAATACACGGTAAAAACAATGACAACATAAATGCATAAAGTGAACACATTTCCTCTACAAAGTCAGTAACAAATTAGAAAATGTAATACGGACAAACTTAGTTCTGTTCTCAATACTAACAACCCACACATGAACTTAGCCGGGAACTGTATTAAGAACAGTATTAAAGCAGAGGCTTCATGTGGGGAAAGGTCCCAGGCTTGCTGAGGTTAAGACAATTTACCTGTGTAGAGACATGTCATCACCCTGGAGACAAAGGCTGATGAGCAAATAGACTAATCCTCCCCTGACTTAAGAACTTATAAAGTCGAAACAAAATTATATTTGGCCCTCTTAAAACATGCTAATGGGATTCAAAAGCTTATCTGGAAAGCAACTGAGCTTGAAGAAGCACGAGCCATTTTAAGAGAAGAATATTAGGAGGGGCATTCCCTGTCAGAAATTAAACCACAGTGTGAAGCTATGATCACTGAAAACATGTGGCACAACTGCAATCATCAATTATATCAGGGAAAACATAAATTACTCTTGAAAGAATTGGAATTTATGAAATAATTGTATGTGTTTGCAGCAGGGGTTAATGGTATCACATATCTCTAGAGAAAGATGTGTTCAACCAGTGATCTGTGATAAAAATAAAATATGTACAATAAATTAGATCTTCTCATATCATCTTAAAATATGACAAACTCCGGAGGTGCCCAGAAAACAACTCCAATGAATGGTCTCCCCCAGCCCCAGATGAAGGCAGTGCCCTTGGGTGGCCCCAGGGAAGAGCTCTCTGCCCAGGGCCACTCTGTGTGGGTCGTGTGAGGGACTCTGGGTCTGGAGCTGTGTCACCAACTACCCTTTGGACCGGCCACTTTCTAAAGGATCAACATCCACAGATTCAGCAGGGCTGGGTGAGGAGACCCAGTCGCCCACCCAGACGGACGACCTGCAGCGGCACACACCCAGGTGCCCACTCCTCTTGGGGGGAGTCCCCATCACTGGATCTTGTCAGCCCTGTGCCACAGAGAGGCTGTGCTGCTATTGTGCGTTTTGGCAGCAGAGGGTGGACACGTCCAGGGAGGGTGGATTAGCTGAGGAGCAGAGCTGGGGCCGGTGTCTCGGCAGTTCACCCACTCCCAGTCTAGAGCAAGAACAGGGTGGACCCTGCGATCCTCGAAACGAGAGTGTTTCCCTTCCTCAGACACATGAGCCAGGCAGTGGAGTTGGGATGTGTCCCTGGATGGTGGCAGGTTAGAGGGGTCCCCAGGCTCCCACAGGAGCCCAGGCTCGGGGAGGAACCCTCTGCCCCTGGCAGAATGGGCACCTGCGTCTTTTATAGTGGGAGCTGGGCCCAGGGAGGGACACACTTCCTTGTCAGATCTAAGACCCAGTTTCTGGGGGGACAAGGGTCTCCAGGCACCCAGGGAAGCTCTCCCAGGCAGAGCCCGGCCCAGAGCTTGCACTCAGGGGTACAGAAGGGATACAGGTAAGGACGTAACTGGATGGAAATTTGTGACTTCAATGCAAAAATTAGAATGTCAGAAAACCTAATAATTAGTAAGCTAAGCATTTGCTGTGAATCAGATAATAACTAGGAAAATTAATATAATGCACAATGAATGGAATGACTACAGGTAGAAGATTGAGAATAGCAGGTGGTGGCAGAGATGTGGATCAACCAAAACTGCTTCTGTTGGTCAGAGTGGATGTGAACTGTGAGGCTGTAGAATGATTTGGGAAAATTGTCTCTTCATATCTGTTAAAGCTAAATGTACGCCTAGCCTATGACTCAACAATTCTGCTCCTAGGTATATACCCAAGAAAAATCCACAAACAAGTTCACCAAAAGGCATGTGCAATACGCAGAGTGACACTATTCATGACAGTCTCCAAACTGGAAACAACCCACATGTCCACCAATGGATAAACCGTGGTCTGGTCACACCATCAAATACAACAATGGGAGTAAATGAGAAGAATGAATGAATCTCACAAACACAATGTTGAGTGAAAGAAATCAGACGCCAAAGAATGCACACCAAGTGATTCCATTAAAAACAGATCATGGAGGCCGGGCGTGGCGGCTCACGCCTGTAATCCCAGCACTTTGGGAGGCCGAGACGGGCGGATCACGAGGTCAGGAGATCAAGACCATCCTGGCTAACACAGTGAAACCCCATCTCTACTAAAAATACAAAAAAATCAGCCGGGCACAGTGGCGGGCGCCTGTAGTCCCAGCTACTCGGGAGGCTGAGGCAGGAGAATGGCGTGAATCTGGGAGGCGGAGCTTGCAGTGAGCCGAGATCGCGCCACTGCACTCCAGCCTGGGCGACAGAGCCAGATTCTGTCTCAAAAAAAAAAAAAAAAAAAAAAAAGATGTTATAATGTCATAATGCCAAAGCTCTGATCTCAGAGGTTATGGTGCCAGAAGCCATGATGCCTCAAGACCTGATGTCAGAAGTCATGATGTCAGAAGTTACGATGTCGTGATGTCAGAAGTTATGATGTAGGAAGTTACAATGTCGTTATGTAGGAAGTTATGATGTCGTGATGTAGGAAGTTACGATGTCATGAGGTCAAGAGCCATGATGCCAGAGCCCTGATGTCAGAATTCATGATGTCATGTTCTCAGAAGTGGGGACAGTGGTTATTCTTTGGGGAATGTTGATGAGAAGAGGCACTTGAGGGACTTCCAGGGGCCTGTAGCTTTTTATTTCTTGATCTGAGTATGGCTTACACCAGTGTTTTCAGTTTATGAAGCTCTACATTTATAATATCTGTGTTTTATAATCCCTGGGTATGCCACACACTTTAATTTAAAAGTATGTTTAGAGAAAAGGGTTGCAGTCCTGGCCCTGCGTGAGGCTCCTCATGTGATCTTTGACAGCCCCCTTCTCCCTCTGGGCCTCAGTTTTCACATCTGCAAAGTGACGATCTGCGTGCAGCTGAAGGAGCACGGAGACTTTACGTCTCGTCCTGATGTCCAGGAGGGTGGAGGCCCTCTTTCCACCGTGTCTCTTTAAGAGGGGTTACCAATGCACTCTGCCAGGAGCCTGGAGGGGAGCAGGGTCTCTTCGAAGCCCACCCCTGGGACAGTGGCCCACACATGCAGGATGCAGACCTCGGTGGATGCCAGCACAGGGTGGAGGGGCCAGGGAGGCAGAGTCAGAGAGGCCACGGGGCCCACCGCCAGCATTAATATTAAAGGCGGTTCTGCACAAATGATCGCATCAGGCCTGGAAAACAGAGCAGCCAGCTTACATGGGAATGTTCTCACCACAGTCAGCCGTGCAGAACTCTCGTCTAATCAGTACTATTGAAACCTTTAATTTCCCTTATTTTGTGCAAGGCGAGAACTGGATATCAGAGGGATTTCTCCCAGAATCACATCCGCTCTTGCCAGTGTCTCCCCTGGGAGGCCTGATGGCCCCGGTGTGTGAGTGGGAACAGCAGCCCTATCCTCAGCGTTTATTTCCCCTGTGGCCAGTGAGAAAGGATCACCAGCAAGCCCGAGCCCAACCGTCTGCAGGCTGACCTTGACTTTGACCTTGGACCTCAAGGGGCAGGCATGGGAAGCTCATATTCCAGGCGTGGGGCTAAGAGCAGAGGCCTGCTGAGCCCCAGAGCTGAGGCCCCTGTCTTTACTGGACCAGCCCGCACTGCCCAGAGGCTCTCTTGGTGCCAACAGTGAGAAGCTGGGTGCCAAAGGCTGCACCATTGCTGCCCTGGGAAAAAGCAGCTCATTTAGCTGAAGGACACCCTGGCCCCTCTTTTCCCACGCTGCTGAGCCCACTCTCTTGCAAGCTGCCTCCTCCGGGCATCACCAGTGATCCCCATCTCCTGAGGCCTCCTCCCAGCCTCGGGGGGGCGGCTGCCCCAAGTCATATTATAAACTAGCATAAAGCCCGTGTAGGACCCGGGAAGCAGGTCCCTGAGCCAGGAGTCCCCATCCCTGCACAGCATGGCCCTGCTGAACCCCAGCTAGCAGGGGCTGTTCCCGCCTGCGCCTGCCCCTTCCCACCGGAGGACACACCTGACAGTGGGAGCTGAGCTGCGGTTTCCTGGCGCCCGCCAGGTGGGGCTCTTCCTGCGTGTGCACCTGTCCTCAGGCCACCAAGGAGTTACCGTCACTGTGTCCATTTCACAGAGGAGGAGACTGAGGCTCAGAGATGGGAAAAGGATCAGGCCAGGAGGTGGGGGAGAAGGATCCTGTGACTTGAGGCCCGGCACTAGAGTCTGCCTGAAATCATCAGCTGTAAGATTTCGCCTCTCATGACAGTAATAATGATAATAATAGTAACTCATTGAAAATAACTTTATGGTCCTTTTCCATGTATAGAAATACAGATGCTCAATGAAAAAAAAAAAATCCAGTCTTCCCAACTCTGCAATGTGCGTTTTCTAGTCTAAAATCTAAGTCTCCATTTATTGCTTCTAAAATGCTCCTCAGGAGAGTTTTGCCGTTTCCTTCAACAACTCTACCTTTCTCACTGAATTCCCCACCATCAGGATTTTATGTGTCTTTCTGCTATTGTGAATGAGATTTTCCCCCTTTATTTTCCTGTTTTCTAAGTGGATATCGGTGACTATTGACTAGTGTTCATTTTGTTATGCTAAGTGCTCCTGTTTCTTACAGCCTTGCAGTTGATCCTCTGTGTTTTCCAGATCAATCTCAAACCATCTGCAAAATATGGGAATTTTGCCTCTTTCCCATCTTTGTAGCTCTTATTTCATGATTTTTTGGTCTTCTGGGGAAAGGAACAGGCTCAGGTAAACAGCCAGGCTGGGGCACCCTCAGGGCAGCTGCGGATCACCCTATGCCGTCCCTCCACCCCGGTACCCACCCCTCCGGGAGTGAAGGCTGCCAGCCGAGATGCACGGTTGCTGGGAAGTGTATGGATGAGGCCCACCCAGGTCTGAGGCATCTCACCCTCCAAGGAGCGGATACTGCCTGCCCCCAGCAGGGGAATGCTGGCTGCTGCCATGGTGGCTGTGGGTGTGTGGTGACCGTCCAGGCCTCCCTGGGTGCTGCTGGGATGGGTGGGCCTGGTTTAGGGTTGATTTCTGGGGTTCCGGGGTCCCCCAGGGGCAGAAGTGTGATGGCACATGGTTCCGTCATGGCTGGCTGCTCTGTGGCTCACGCTGTCTGCCTTTCCTGCCCTGGTGAAGTGGTTGTTTTGTGATGTATTATTTCATTGAATTATATTGGTAGATTTCCTAATACTGAACTTGTTTTAAAGTGCTTGGAAACCTCAACTGAAGCCGAGAGGTGGTCGTTACACGTGTGAGTCTTTAATCTGCCACATGAAGTAATGTGTGAGGACGTTATTACCATAGCTGGTATGTTTCATTTCATGTGTATGTGCAACTTTTCAATGTTTTGGTGCAAATATTATGCTGGAATCCTAAGAAGAACACAGGGTTTTCTTTCTTTATGCTCATGAATAGGAAATTTTAATCATATTGTAAAGATTGGTGCACCAGCATTTTGAATTAGTGAATTTGTGATTTATCTGGGCGTAGAATTTCGGAGGTGAGTGGGCTGGGTTTTAATAGATTTCTCAATTTCTTCTGCGGTTAATAATAGTCTGCTTACTTTTCTGTTTCCTTTTGGTTAGTTGGGGCAATTCATATTTGCCTGGGATAATCACCCATATTATTTAGAATTTAAAGTATTTGCATGGAATCTGTAAATTATGCACTTGTGTGTGCTTCTGTCGTAACTGTTTCCCATGTCGTTAGACTCGTGTGCACGTGTGTGTCCATGCCGTCCTCACAGTTCCTGAATTAGGGTAGACACAGGCTTATTCACTGGTGAATTTCAAAGGCCCACCACACGAGCACGCTTTTGAGTCTCCTGCTTCAAATCACACACTTTTACCATCTTATTTTCTTCTTCTTGGTTCTTACATTTATCCTGTTCTTTTTATTTTCTTGAGTCTAATTTTGTCAGTTGAATGAATAATTTACTTGTTTGTATTTGGTTGTTGCTAACGTAATTGTTATCGCTGTGAATTTTTCTCTGAGACAGTTTTAGTCACATTGTTCGGGTTCTGATAGATCATATTCCATAATTGTTATTTGTGGTGGTTCTGAAATTTGGACTCTGTTGTCCCACTTGACCCAAGAATTGTTCAAGAGGCATTTTGTTTGCTTACTTGTTATTCAGGATGTTAGGGTTTCTGCTTCTACAATTGCTATTATTTTCTTCCTTTTGTGGATTTTGGCTGGAGAATATGGTCTAAGTGTTCTTGGGATTTGACATAAGTTCAAGTTAAAGAAGAGGTTTCACGGCTTCTTGAAGAGAGAGGCATTTCCCACTCCAGGTGTGATGTACCTGTCAGGATCCACTGCTGGGTCTCCCGATGCGTGTTTGGGACCCTGGGTTCACAGAGGGCCGCTGAGGTCCCCACTGCTGCGGGCTGCCTGGTCATCTTCAAATGATGCTGGAATCTCCACTCACGTACTTACCTCCATTCCTAAAATAGTATCGTGTTTTTCCTCTTTATTGTTTGTGCTATTGGGGAGGAGCCTATTATCAGAGGAAATGGATGCACATCGGACACCCTGGTCTGGCTTTATCAGGTTCGCATGCCCTTTCTTATCACCGCCTTTCCCTGCCCTTCCCCTGCCCCTCTCCACCCCTTTCCCTCCCTCCTTCTCCTTTTCTCCTCCCTTTTACTCCGTCCTCTCTCCTTCCCTGCTCCTTCTCCTTCCTTCCTGCATTTCCTCCCCCCTCCTTCCCTCCTGCCTCTCCTTCCCTCCTCCCTGTCTTTTCCGCCCTCTTCCCTCCCTCCGTTTCTCTCCTTCCCTCCTCCCTCCTCCCTTCCTCTCCACCTCCCACTCCCTCCCTACTCCTCCCTCCCTCTTTCCCATCTTCCCTCCTCTGCTCCCCCAGCCCTTAGCTTCAGAGATCTGAGGTCCTGTTCCTTAGCACCTGGGAAAGCTGGCCCCACAGACCCTCAGGTTCTCTCCACTCACCGACTGGTCCCCTTTCCTGCCAGTGCCTCTCTTGGTTCCCACCCTTCTCCATGGGCAGCCAATTTGCTGTGTTTGACATCTTTTAGTTTGTATGTTTTCTTGAAGAATCGGCCTGACTGTTACGGGTACGGGAGTCACCGTGCTCAAGAGGACCCTCTGTGTGGCCGCGTGCTCGTCCAGGGCGGGGCCTGCCCCACTGCGGAGCCCAGCCTTGAAGCTGCCATCTTTCCACGCTCACACCGAGGGCATTCAGGTTGCCTCCCAGTAATGCTTGGTCCAAGGAGTCCCAGACCGAACAGGAAACTTTAATGCTGATTATACCACATTCATCTTTTTAAAACTTGGTTCTCACTTGCCTCTGATTTGTGCTGTTGACATGTTGTTTAAAAAGCCTTGCCTCGCTCCTTGGCCATGGTTATATTCCCTTATATGAGGTTAAATTTGTAGCTTCACCTGTAGGTGACGGCCATGCCTGGTGTGGCTGGCTGTTGAGGTGCAGGGCGCCGCCGTCCAGCAGAGGCCAGTCCAGGAGCAGAGTCCAGAGGCAGCCTGCAGCCCCTGTCCAGAGGCCCTGAGGGGTCCGGGCCAGGGAGGTGGCCTGGCTGCAAGCCCAGCAGAGCAGGCACGTGGGCAGGACCTGGCCGCAGTCTCACGGGGCGGGCCCCTCCTTCTTCCCCGACGCTCCCCGCTCCCTCCCCACACAGGTGTGCGGGGCTGAGCCCCCGGTGAGTGTAGTGTTTCCAGCCTATGTGCCGGAGTCACCTAGGAACAAGCTCCTGAACTTGCAGCAGAATGTAGCTGCGGACGTTTTGAACACACCGGGGAACAAGCTCATGGATTCACAGCGGAATGTCGCTGCGGACGTTTTGAACACACTGTGGAACAAGCTCCTGAATTCACAGCGGAATATAGCTGCGGACATTTTGAACACACCGTGCAATGTTCTCTTTCTTCATTCATCCTTTTGCCAATTTCCTTAACAAATATTGAATTTCCACCATGACTCAGGCACTCCAGAGTGAACCAGGCCAGACCCTGTGCCCAGGTGCCTGTGCCAGAAATAATTGGGCTCTCCTGGGCCTCTAGGTCAGTTTAAAGTTAAGGGTCCGTGCATCATTGCTGTTAGAAAATTCCTGGAAAAAGTATTTGCATGTCTTTGGGGAAGAGAACCAGAGGAAAGGAATGGGTTTTCTCCCTGGACAGTGAGTGCCCTTCCCTGCGAGTGACCAGGACCAATGTGATGTGGCTGGGGCAGTGGGGCTGGAAGAGGAGTGGCAGCTGTGTTTGTCACAGGCCTGGCTGAGGAATTCTCTGTGGCTCTGAGCCCTCGCTCCTGCTCCTCAGGGGCTCCTGGCCCCTCTCCTGCTCAAAGCTTGCTCCCCCAGAGGGTCCAGGCAGCGAGACCTGGGTGTGGGCCGGCCTTCCCTGCCCTGCCAATGATGGCTGGGTGGTGGCAGAACCCCCTAAGGCCCAAGGAGTTCTGCTCAGTGCAAGACTCATCATCTGGCCACACTGCAGGTCCGCAGGGGACAAGGCTCCAGGCACAGGAAGACCCAGCTCCCATGGCCTGGCCCCCGAAGGCTCGACCCCGGGGACAGACTCTGGGAAACTCTCTCAGCTGGAGGCTTTCCGTGCAGCTGGAGTTTAAACAGCCCAAGGCTCCGGGCTGTCATCTCCGCCCAGGATTAGCTGCTGCTGGAGACTTCCTCTCGTGGGCCCCGTGCTGGGGCTGTACAGCTTCCTACCTCACGCCATCTCTGTGGTCACAGGACGCTGAGTGGAGAAAATAAAACCCACGCAGGGACGGCAACCATCGTGGGGATACGTGGGGCTGCGCTCAGGTCTGCAGAGGCCGAGGCTGGACAGGGTGGGCCCTGCTTCCTCGTCAGCAGCGGGAGCCCCGTGACCCCCAGCACGCGGTTCAGAGTGGAGAAACTGCCGGGTGACCACGCTGAGCTTCCCCTTCCTTCCCCTTGTCCAGGCTCAGCAGGGGCTCTGGGCTGATCCTACTCTTCCCACTGGAGGGAGCCGTGGGTGCTGGGGGCTCTGGGGGCCTCCTGGCCTCTGGGTGGTCGTGGGCTGCTGGCTTAGGGTGAGGGCACCAGGATCCGGGCTCAGGGACGTCTGTGCCCGCCGTTCCCACTTCCCTTCGACCTCCCCCACCTGATTTCTTCTCTGCCCTCCCCTCCCTGCCGCTAAGGAGTCTTTGGCCTCTGCTGATCTTCTTTAAACTCCCTGCTGCAGCGGTTCACGGAAACTTCCCAATTACCACATGATGACACTGGCAATGGCTTCTCACGTTCTCTGTGGCCAGACTGTGCTCAACACTCCAACCATTATCTCGTTTACCTCAGAAACGTCCCTAAGCTGCGGGCAGGGGCAGTGTCGTGGTGACCGTTCCTCCCTTTTCCAGGCGACTAACCTGGGGTTCCAGAGGTCGGCCCTTCTTTGTCCTGGTGGACGGCCTAAGGCCGAGGTGTCCGACCCGGGACCGAGTGTCCCTGTCACAGGAGACTGGCTGACACCTGCATGCAGTTTATTCCAGCCAAGACAGCCACGCCAAAGGACCACGCCGACGGGAGGAGAGGTGGGTTGAGGTGTGCCAGTCAGGTGAGACTCAGGTGGCAACTCCACAAAATGCTGGAGTTAACAGCGTGACTCACAGATCCAGAGAGAAGAGGGCAGCCCCCTCGCAGGGCTGGTGGTGGGAACGGGGCGCTGTCTTGGACGCACACAGCCAGAGGGACAGGGGCTGTGGTCAAAGCCTTCACTGGGGTCCAGGGTATTGCCCAAGCAGGTTCCCACAGGAAGCTCTGGTGGGTGCACTCAGCCAGTGGGCCACAGCCCCACGAGGTCACACTGGAACTGGGAGGGGTCTGCTGTGGGACAGCTACACAGTCCTTGCAGGGTGTGGGGTCTGGGCGAGTCCTGTGGGCTGTCCCATAGCGGGGTGGTCACCAGGAGACGTCTGAGTAAGGCAGGTGTCTGGAGGGACCACCCTGAGATACTGGGGGAAGGCAGAGAACTGGAAACTGTGTCAAGGGTGACTGAGCCCCGATTCTGGGAGGACAAAGCCCCAAATGGGTGCTGAGGGAACACGACATCGTAAGAATTCCGCACAGACGCTTCAGTGCTGCTGATGAGAGAGGGCGTCAGGCTGTGAGCGTGTCAGAGTCTGGGGGGTGTAAAATTATTGCACGTAAATAATCAGGAAACAGCTGCCTAGAATAACCTTTATATTGGAAAGTGTGCTTTGAGGTCATTATGCCAGATTTTATGGCCATTTCTTGGCTGAGCCCTGGGATGGCTTATGTCTTTGCAGAAAGGCATCATCACATTTTATGAATGACAGATGGCTTTTACCACACCTTTGCATGATCGCTTATGGTAATAGGACTGCGGTGCCCTGAGACGTGGGGATCTGCGTGAGTGCCCCCGGCAAAGTCTGCTCTTCCGGCCTCGAATCTGGATCCCAGGTGAGGCCTGAGGGTTTTATTTCTTCCTCTGATCTCCCTGCCGGCGGGGCCACTGTGGCAGGACAATTCGGGGCCCCGCCCCCCAGATGTGCAGGTGCAGGCCAGTCTCGGGGGGATCGGCGGCTCCCGGGGGGCTGTGTCGGGGGGATCGGCGGCTCCCGGGGGGCTGTGTCGGGGGGATCGGCGGCTCCCGGGGGGCTGTGTCGGGGGGATCGGCGGCTCCCGGGGGGCTGTGTCGGGGGGATCGGCGGCTCCCGGGGGGCTGTGTCGGGGGGATCGGCGGCTGCCGGGGGGCTGTGGGATGGTGCCCCCGTCCCAGGGCTCCCGCACGGGAGGGCTTTGCACGTCCACCCCTCCTTTCCTTGACCAAACCCGGTTCTTATCCAGTCTTGTCTCTTCCTTTCTTTCTTTCTAAGCCCCCATGACCCAAGTCGGGGCTCTAGGGTGAGGGCTGCGTGTTCTGCTCCATGCAGCTGTCTGGACACTGCTGGACGAGGGCCTGTCTCCTGCGGGCTCCCACCCATTGTGGCGCAGGTTTACCCAGCCCTGCTTCACCAAAACATGACTTTATAAAGAAGAGTTATTTCTCAAACTGGGAGAAATCACTGCATTTGGTCAAACAATTATATATATATATATATATATATTTTTTTTTTTTTAACACAGAGTCTTGCTCTGTGGCCCAGGCTGGAGTACAATGGCGTGATCTCAGCTCACTGCAACCTCCGCCTCCTGGATTCAAGTGATTCTCCTGCCTCAGCCTCCTGAGTAGCTGGGATTATAGGCGCGCGCCACCACGCCTGGCTAATTTTTGTAATTTTAGTAGAGACAGTGTTTCACCATGTTGGTCAGGCTGGTCTCGAACTCCTGACCTCATGATCCACCCATCTCGGCCTCCGGAAGTGCTGGGATTACAGGGGTGAGCCAGCACGCCCGGCGGATTTATATTTGTAAAATCAGCTCTGCTCTGCTAAACAAATAATTAAAGAAAAGGTGAACACAAGACAGTGTAGACTGTTTAGGTGGCACCAAGAGAACCAGGGCCAGGGGTTGAGCCAGGATGAACACCAGGGGTCAAGGCCACAGCCAGGAGGGCCAAGGTGGGTGCCAGCTGTTGTGGGTGAGGCCAAGCCGGAGTGGGATCAGGGGTGACACTAATCCCTGGAGGAGAGACAAAGAGGGGGATGGGGGCTCAGGGAGTTGGGCCTTGAGGGACTTGCTATCTGATGAAAGGACGGACACGACCCACCAGATGAGGTGGACGGGCCTGGTAAGTGCCTGTCAAGGGTGGTGTGGAACAGAGAGGGGGCTCCTGTCTCACAGTGGGCAGCAGCCCAGCGTCTTTGAGACGGCGTGGAGATGGGCCTAGATCCTAGATGCTGAGAGGAGGCGTCCACACGGCTGAGGGAGGCCAGGCAGAGGCCATAGTGTGGGTGAAGGCCAGAGAATGGGCGAGCTCAGGGAACTGGGGGCCTCGGGGCAGAGCCCGGAGCAGAATGATGGGTGTGGGTGCAGGTGGGGCACAGGCTGGAGGTGTTGGGAAGAAGCCTGCGAGCCTGGTGCTGAGTGCCTGGCTAGCACCGAGTTCACCCGAGGAGCTCCTGAGTGTGGAGGGGAGATGGGGCTGGACCGGGACACTGGTGAGTCCATTCCTGGATGGGCAGAACTCAGCCACAGAGACCAGCCAGCAGGTTATGGGAAAGAGCCCCTGTGGAGGGCAAGGAGGGCGAGGGAGGGAAAAGGGTCTGCTTCGCTTTTTCCCGAGGACGTTGAAGGAAGGGAGAGGGCTTATGGAGAAGAGCAGGCCTCCATGTCCAGAGCAGGAATCCGAAAGTGGAATGTGTTTGCCAGATATTCTCTCTCCTCTGTCTCTCCCACTTCTCTCTGCCTGTATCTCTGTCTCCTCTTTGTCTCTCCCTCTCCCTCTCTGTCTCCTCTTTGTCTCTCCCTCTCCCTCTCTGTCTCCTCTTTGTCTCTCCCTCTCCCTCTCTGTCTCTGTTCTCGCTGCAGGAGCCCGTCCATATCCCTCATCCAGCAAACTCCATGGCCATGCAGGGCTCCTCAGGACACTGCAGTTGTGCCCTGTTTAAAACAATAACTGTTTCTCAAGTTTCTTGGAGTGAAGCCACCATGACCTTTGCAACAGACGAAGCCTACACTTTTTCCAAGTGTGACTCAAAGGACAAAAGGTTCATGCACAAGGCAGTTCTAAAAGTGGATGGGTAATTGCTGGTTCTGCTTCCTGTAAGGATTTTGTAAGATCACACCAAACCCACTCCCTTACAGAAAACAGCTTCAAAATCTGTACACAATGCAAACAGGCTGCTTGTGGGCGTTGGAGAGTGAACAGCAAGACGGACCTGGGGTGTACACGGGGGATAAAGGAGTTGCAGGAAGCACGTTCTCTTTGACCGTGGCTGTTAGCCTGAGCACTATGTAGTTAGGGCATGAGGAGCTGGGGGTCCTCAGGGAAGACCACAGTCTTCATGGCCTGGAACAGGAGCAGGACGAAATTGGGGAAGCTGTGGCCAGTGGAGGGGGGGAGCGTCCAGAAGGGGAAACTTGGCGGACTCTACTCATGTTTCCGACTGGCCCTGAACTGCACACACTCAAAGCAGATAAAAGAAGCCCAGCTAAAGGCTGGTACAAAATGACCTTCTTTATAATGCTGGTTGTGTTCATTGTTCAATATTAATATAGCTGTTCCCGCTTTTTTTTTTTTTGACTAGTGTTAGTACAGTGTATCTTTTAAAATCCCATTAGTTTTCATGTATTTGTGAATTTATATTTAAAGTGGGTTTTGGGTAGGCAGCAATTAGTTGGGTCTTGCTTTGTTATTAAGTCTGACAAACTGCCACTGAATTAGACCAATGGTTATAGATCATTTTCATCTACCATCACTGTTGATAATGGTTGGACTTAAACCACCATCTTGCTATTTGCATTTTATTTATCCTGTCTACTTTTTGTTTCCTGTTCCTCTTAGCCAGCCTTCTTCTGGACTGGGTATTTTTTAATCATCCCATTTAATCACTTCTGTTGGCTTATTCCCCATAACTCTGTCTGTACATATGTATGTGTGCGTGTGTGTGTATACATTTTAGGGTTTATAGTGTGCACCTTCAACTTATCATAATCTATCTTCAAATAATATTACACTACATCATGATGGTTTAATAACCTTACAGCAGCACACTTCCATTCCCTGCCCTCCTTCATGTCCTTGTGGGCACATATTTTATTTCTCTACATGTTCTATACCCAGCAAAACATGCTTTTCCTTCCTGTGCTTCTATCGGGTCTCCTATAATGTCATTTTCCTCTTGTCCAAAGGACTTTCTTTAATATCTCTTAGTGCTTATCTGCTGGTATGATTAATATTTTAGCTTTTATATGTCTGAAAAACTTGATATCTCACCCTGTTTCTACCTTTGTTGCCAGGTACAGAATCACAAATCAACAGGCTTTTCCCGGCAGTACTTTGCAGAGCTTGTTCCACTGTCCTCTAGCTCGCCTCATTTTCAAGGAGAAACCTGTCGTCATCCTTGTCTTTGTTCCTCTGTACCCAGCACGTCTCTTTTCTTCTGCCTGCTGTTAAGATTGTCTCGTTCTTACCCAGTTTAAGCAGTTTGGTTAAGATGTGCCTTCTTCGTACTTCATACTTTTTGGACTGGGATATGTAGCTTTTAAAAAGCAAATTTCAAAAGATTTCAGTCATTATGTCCTCCTTTTTTTTCTGTTTTTTTTTCTTTGTTTTCTTTCTGGGACTCTAAATGTATGAATTTTAGGCCAATTGAAGTTGCCCCCCAATTAGCTTTCTGCTCCTTTTGAAGGGGTCTATTTTCTGTCTGTGTTTCACTTTGGATGGTTTCTATTATATACCTTTAAGTTCATTAATCTTTCCTTTTGTAGTGTCTGTCTAATCTCATCATCTCATCCAGTGAATTTTCTTTATCTCAGAAATGGTTTCATCTCTAAAAGTTAGAATTGGGACTTTTTAATGTTTTTCATATCTCTGCTTAACGTTATCATGTGGAATAGAGTGATAATAACTACAGTTCATCTGTGTCTAGGAATGCCCTCATCTGTGCCATTTGTGAATTAGTTTCAATTTGTTGATATTCCTCATTACATGATGTGTTTTCCTGCCTCTTTGCATACTTGGTGATTTTTTACTGTATGCTAGACATCATGTACTTTTCCTTGTTAGATCCTGGATAGTTTTGCACTCCTAAAATTATTTTAAAACTTTTCAGGGATGAAGTTACTTTACTTGGAAACAATTTGATATATTTGAGGCTTGATTTTAAGCTTTTTTGGGTGGGGCCTAAATTAGTCTAGGACTGATTATGCTCTACTACTGAGGTGATACCATGCTGAAAAAGCTTAATAAGGAGAAAGATCAATCAATAAATATTCACGTATATTCACAAAATATAATGAGGAGAAAAATCAATCAGTAAATATTCACGTAACCCTAAAAAAAGTTAAGAAATGAGAAACAAAGGGGGGAACTGGAGGGTATGTATAGAGAGCGAGGCATAAAATTACAGACCCAGACATAACCATGTCAATACTTATTTAAATATGAGTGGACCAAAGATTTCAGGTAAAACGCAGAGGTTGTCAGAATAGATATGAAAACAAGACCCACACACATGCTGTCTTCCAAAATTGCACTTGAAGAACAGAGACACAGGTAGCTTTAAATGACATTAAAGTTAAAGCATAAACACTGGAAAGGGAGAAGAAGAACTGCCTCTTTATGCAGATATCATGAATCATGTATGAGGAAGTATCTTAAGAAACTTACAAACAACTAGCATAGGCACTGAGAAAGCGTGGTCTACTCATCAACCACAAACAGGAATGAAGCCCTAACATGCCACAATATGGATGAACCTTGAAACTGAAAACATGATGAGTGAAAGAAGACGGACACAAAGGGCCGCATGTTATATGATTCCAGTTATACGAAATGGGCAGATCTAAAGAGGCAGAACGCAGGTTAGTGGTGACAGGAGCTGGGGGAAGGGAGGAACAGAGAGTGACACCTCGATTGATGTGGTGTCTCCTTTCTTGGTGATGCGAATGTCCTGGGGCCGACAACGTGGTGAACGCACTGGATGCCACTGAATTGTGCACTTCAAAATTGTGAAAATAGTGAATTTTATAATATGTGAATTTTACCACCATAAAAACCAAACTATTAGTACAAATAAAATTAGTTTAGCCAAGTTGCAGCATTTAACTTTCATAGAAAAATCGATTGTATGTCTTTGCTCATCAATATACTACCGTGCCACTTATGGTCCTTTTGAAGAAATGAGACAGCTGATGCTAAGATTTACATGGAAAGACAAAAGGGTTAAAATATCCAGAAACAACTTTGAAAAATAAGAACAAGGTTGTGGGGCCCACGCTACTTGATTTCAAAAATTACTATACAGGTATGGTAATCACGACAGTGTGGTTTTGGCATCAGGAAAGACACAGAGGCCAACTGAGCCGAAGGGGAAGTCAGAAAGACCCACATTTATATAGTCCCTTGATTGCTGGTAAAGGTAAAAATTTAATTCTTTCAGAACTAGCTGTTTCAATAAATGGTGCCAGGATAAGTTGATATCTACATGGAAAAACAAAATAACCTTCAAGCCTTACCTCCCACCACATGCAAAATTATCTTGAGATGGATCATGGACTGAAAATTATTAGAACTTTTAAAGTTCTAGAAGAAAACATACAGAAGAATTTTTATGACTTGGGCTAGAATAAACATTTTTTAGAAACAAGATGTGAAAGCACAGATGATAAAAAATGATAAAACAAATTCAGCAAAATTGAAAAGGTTGCTCAAAATTAAACAGAGTTAAGGGAATGCAAAAGCAGACTACAAACTGGCAGAATAATTTTACAAAATCCACATCTGACAATGGGCTTGTACTCAGAATATATGAAGATATCTTATAAATCAATAATTTGAAAACTGCAGTTAAAAATTGAAAAGGACTTGGACAAATACATGACAAAAAAGATATATGACCCATAGGCACATGAAAAAATGATCAACGTCACTTGCCATCAGAGGAGTACACATTAAAAGCAGTCTAAAGTTAAAAAGATTGACAATACTAAGTGTTGACAAGGATATAGAACAATGGGAATTTACATACAATTTAAATTGGAATGCATGAAATTTGGTTGGAATTTTAAATGGAAATACTTTGGAAAATGGACTGACACTATCTAAGAGGTAAAACATTCACTTACCACATGACCCAGCAATTCCAATCCTAAATATTTACCCCAGGAAAATGAAAACATATGTCCACACAAAGACGTGGACACAAGTGCTCACACCAATGTTATTTGTAATACATCCAAACTGCAAACAGCCCAAATGCCCATCAACAGGCAAGTTGGTAACCTACGGTGCATGCATATTATGAGATACTACCCATTAATAAAAAATGAACAAAATATTAAGCCTACACGACATGGATAAGTCTTGAAATCATCAAGTTAAGTGGAAGAGATAGAGTACTGTTCCATGTCTATGAGCTTCCAGGAAAGGCAAAGTTACAGGGACAGGAATCAGATCACTGTCTGCCTGGGGCTGGGAGCTGGAGGAGGGAATCTAAAGGGGCAGGAGAACACTTTTTAGGAGAATGAAATGTTCCACATCTTGACTGTGGTAGATGTTACATGACTGTATACAACTGTCACATGAATGGGCTTTACTGTTTGTGAATGAAACCTAAACAAGCTAGCGAAAGAAACAGAAGGAGCATGGGCCGGCTGAAGCCGTGTCTGCAGGTGGGTGCTGGAGGCCCTGGAGCCGCGTGGCACAAGCCACAAACCTCAGGTGTCTCCCGTGGGTGGCTGGGGAAGATTAAGGCAACCCTCAAGAAGCCCACCAAGGCGCCACTGGGGGCTCCTGTCTTGGGGCTGTGTGGGGCCAGCCTGGGGAGGCGGGAGCCTCATAAGAGTCCCCTGAAAGCTACTTCATTTCCAAGCAGAGAAGGGGGTGGGGGTGGGGGGTGCAACACAGAAGGGTCTTGATGGAGAGGGTGTCTGCACAGCACAGTGATTACAGCCCAATCAGGGGTCAGACTTCCTTCGTGGACAGCCTGGTTCTCACCTGCATTCGCTGTGTGACCTTCAGAAAGTGACCTACCGTCTCTGTGCCTAGTCTGCTCTTTAGTAAAAGATGGCTAATGAAGTGGCTACCTTACTGGGCCCTTGAGAGAATGAGATGAGAGAATACAGGTACAGCACTGAGAGCAGCACTGGGATACAGTAGGTGTTCATAAATGGCACCTGCTATCATTATTAGTGATCTAGGAATAGGACCTTAGCTTAAACCCCACTGTGAGAAAAAGGGAAAAGCAAGGAGGAGAGGCTTGTCCAAGGCAGCAATCCCATCTTCCAGACACCAGGCCAAGAGTTCTGGAGCCCGAACACAGGCGTGGCAGAGAGCCTTTGCTGCCCTTCCCCTGCCCACGGGGCGGAGGGGAGATCTCGGGCCCCACAGCTCCTGAGCAGGGCTCGGGGGTCACCCTCAGTGCTGGCAGGGAGTGCGGAGTTGCTTTGACTCACTCAGGAGTAGGTTTGAGCCCTGGTTCCTTTCCTTATCACTCAGAGGCCGATGGCGCAGTAGCTGCCTGAGGAACACACAGCCTTTGCAAGTCTTTGGGAAACAGGAGAACTGTCTTCCTTTGTCCGAGAAGCACTCAAGCTGACGGACAGTGGTGCTGCTACTTGCTGCTATTTCTCTCCAAACTTTGGGACTGCGGCCACAGCGGCGGCCACAGCTGTTATTCCTTGTGTCTGCCAAGGGTCTGAGAGTGGCCTGGCGATTCAGCTGTTCCCTGCCCACAGCCCACCCTACGGGATGGGGCCAGTGATGTCGGATCCCTGGTGGTCCTGGTTCTGGCTATCGCTGGAGGGGACACAGACTCCACCTGCGTTGAGCGTGCCGCTCCCTGTGTTCTCCATCTCCATGTTCCCACCTCTTCCTGCTCTTTTCCCCGTGCTTTCAGCTACCTAAGGGTCGCCACTTACCGTCCCTGCAGAGTGCAGAGATTTCTCTTTGAAGAAAAGGTTCTGGAGCAATCAGAGGGGTGAGTGTGGATGCAGCCAGCCCCAGCCCTATGCTGCTCCTCAGACTAATGGTGCTGAAGGCTAAGAGAACGAATAAATGGTAGTGAGCGTTTTTCTCATTAGGGTTTTAAAATCCTCCAAGTAATAGATCATTTTGTAGCATCTTACATGTCCTGCTTATCCTAATAATGTGTTATTACTGAATCTCAATAATTTTAATGGGGAAATTCTTTATCTTAAAAAATGTGAAGTGGCTATCCATTTAAAAAGTGTTAACGAGGTAACTCCAAGGGTTTCAATGAACAAGGAGGCCCATAGCTGTAGTGACCCAGTGCCTTCGTGTTTTAGACACTAGCTGAGATCTGCACACTGGAGCCATGGCCGTGGAGGGAGCAGTGACCAGGACCTGCCTCCCGCAGTTGGGGGCCTTTGGTGCTCAGCCCAGGCTTCTGTGCTGGGATGCAGGGCCAGTCTGTTCACACAGACCAGGATAGGCCCTGGACGCGTGCACAGACAAACCCCCACAGGGGTTCATTTTATCTGGGGTGTGGCAGGGAATCATGAGCTGAACAGAGATGCTGGATGCCGAAAACAGCCTCTGTCCCTGCCTCTCTGCCAGCGCTTGCTGTTTGCCTGGAAACAATCCCTCTCCTTCCTTGGCTGCAGTTTTCTCACCCATGAAGACGTGTTCAATGCAGACGTACCGAGTTTCCTCTGGGTCTTCCTGGTTGCCTGGCGTCTCCAAGTGCTCATTTCTCTTCCTTGCTCTTGCCCACCCCACGGGCCCTTCCCCCGTGAGCGAGCTTCACAGACACACACAGACACTAGTGGTTTGGGGTCCTTAGTTGAGGCCATCTTAACTGGCTTCCCTCACCTCCCGAGTGGCAGGCTAGGAGGAAGCGGTGGTTTATTACAGGGACAGATCACACTGTGCCAGGGAAGGCCAGGAAAATATATTCCCATTTTACTTCCTCTAATAATCTCCTATTTTCATCAGTGGGTGAGTGAACATGGCTTCTTCTTCCCAATGATGGTGCAAATGTATAATTTCTCCCAATGAAATCTGATTTTAATGAGAGACTAAATCAGAGGAAAGAGTATTATTTAGATAGTATATGCACATGTCAGGTTAATTTAAAATCAGCTTTTAGGTCAATCTATCTTAATTATTCTATTAACCGTTTTTGACTAGCAATTCCAATAATTGTGTTTGCGTAATACTTGGCAGTGTAATTGCTTTTTGGATTCTCTTCATTGTTTTGTCAGAGTCTGTTCCTGGGCCTCTGTCCCTGGTGAGCTGTGCTTGGGTTGAGTGTGTGCTTGGGTTGTGTATGCACATTCGTGCAACTGCACATGTGCTTGGGTTGAGTGTGTGTGTACAAGTGTGTGTGTGTGCACATGCTTGGGTTGAGTGTGCAGATGGACGTGCATGTGCATGCATACCTGGGTTGTGTGTGTGTGCACATGTATGTATCTGCTTATGTGCTCTAGTTGAGCATGCATGGGTGTCTATGTGCACATGTGCTTGGATGGAGTGCATGTGTACATGCACATATGTGCAGAAGTGCTTGCATAGTGTGTGTGCATGGGTATCATGTGCATGTGTGCTTGGGTTGAGTGTGTGTGCACATGTGTACATGGGTGCATGTGCTCAGGTTGAGTATGTGCATGTGCACACGTGTTTGGGTTGACTGCATGGGCATGGGCATGCAATGCATATGTGTTTGCATCATGTGTGTGCACAGAAGTGCATGTGCTTGCATTGTGTGTGCATGGGTATGCATGTGTGCACGTGCTTGTGTTGAGCATGTGTGCATGTGCTCAGGTTGGGTGTGTCATGGGTGTAAGGTGCACACGTGTTTGGGTTGACTGTGGGCACAGATGCACACATGCATGCATGCTTGGGTTGAGTGTGTGTGCACAGGTGTGCATGTGCACATGTGCTTGGGTTGAGTGTGTGCCTGGGTGTCATGTGCACGTGTGCTTGAGTGTGTGCATGGGTGTCATATGCACATGTGCTGGGGGAGGTGCTTCCCTGATTATTAATGAATGTATTTTCATGGGGTTTATTGATATCAAGGACCCCTGTCTTTATTTTTTATTTTTAAAATAAACTTCATTTTAGAACATTGTTAGATATAAAGAAAAATTGTGATGATAGCACAGAGTTCCTGTATACTCCACACCCAGGTTCCCCTACTCTTACCCTGTCACATTATACTGTACCTTTGTCACAGTGAATTAGCCCATGTCGATACAGTAGTAGGAACTAAAGTCCATACTTTATTCACATTCCCTCAGTTTTCCCTTAATATCCATTTTCTACCTCAGAATCCAAAGTATGATGTTACAGTTGGCCCTCATGTCTCCTTAGGGCCCTCGCAGCTGTGACAGATTCTCAGACTTTCCTTATTTTTAGTGATCCTGACAGTTTTGAGGAGGACTGGTTGGGTATTTTGTGGAATGTCCCTCATTTGGGACTTGTCTGATCTTTTTCCTGTGATTAGTTTGGGGTCACGGGTTGTGGGGAGGATGGAAAGTGACCTTCCCACAGCATCACACCAACGTCCTTGCTGTCTGCGTGACTTGTCACCGGTGATGTCAACCTCGGCGATGTGGCTGAGGCAGAGGTTTCCAGTTTTCTCCACTGTAAAGTTGCTCTTTTTCCCTTTTCATACTGTATTATTTGGAAGGAAGACACTCTGCAACGCTTATACCTTTAATTGTTTATTGATGCATAACATTTTACATATTTATGGGGTGCATGAGATATTTGGATACGCGCATGCCATGTGTAATGATGGAATTGGGGTATTTAGGACGTTCATCACCTCGAACGTCTATCCTTTCTTCATGTTGGGAACATTTCAAATCTTTTCTTCTCGCTATTTCAAAATATACAGTATGTTGTTGTTAACTATAATCCCCTCACTGTGTTATCAACACTAGAACTCACCCCTCCTACCAAACCGTTTATTCGTACCCATTAACCACCTTCTCTTCATTCCCTCCACCCGCCCCCCACTATTTTTTAAACAGCTTTACTGGGTTATAATTCACATACCATGCAATTCACCCATTTAAAGTGTACAATGGTTTTCAGTATATTCACAGAGTTCTACAGCCATTACTACAGTCAATTTTAGAAAATTTTCACCACCTCAAAAAGAAACTCCACACCCTTTAGCTACTCTCAGCCACCAGCCCTGCCCCCACCCCCAGCCCTAAAGAACCACAAATCCTCTTTCTGTATCTATGGGTTCTGCACGTTTCTCAAAATGTAAACATATAGTGCGTGGTCTTTTGCGACTGGCTTCTTTCACTTCGCATAATGTTTTCAGGCTCATCCACCTTGTAGCCTGTGTCAGCACTTCATTTCTTTTTTCTTTTTCTTTTTTTTTATAAGTACTTCATTCTTTTTCATGGCCAAATAACATCCTGTTGTACGGATACACCACATCTTCTGTAGCCATTCGCCAGTCACGTGTATCGGGGCTGTTTCCATTGTTTGGCTTTATGAGTGGTGCTGCTACAAACGTTTGTGTTCAAGTTTTTATTTGGATGTACTTTTTTGTTGTTTGTTTGTTTGTTTTGAGACAGTCTCGCTCTGTCGCCCAGGCTGGAATGCAGTGGTGCGATTTCGGCTCACTGCAACCCCTGCCTCCTGGGTTCAAGCGATTCTTCTGCCTCAGCCTCCCGAGTAGCTGGGACTGCAGGCATGTGCCATCACGCCCAGATAATTTAGTATTTTTAGTAGAGATGGGGTTTCTTCATGTTGGTCAGGCTGGTCTCGAACTCCTGACCTCGTGATCTGCCTGCCTCGGCCTCCAAAAGTGCTGGGATTACAGGCATGAGCCCCTTAGCCTGGCTGGATGTATGGTTTTAATTATCTGGGACGCACACCTAGGGGGGGATTGCTGGGCCATGTGGTCACTCTATGTTGAACTCATTTTCAGCGCCTTTTCATTGTTTTTGTCTGCACTATTTTCTTTCCCAAAGAAGGTTCCTGTTTCTTAAGTCCTTGTCAAGACTATTTTCTGTCTTTTTGAGGATCACCCTCCTAGTGTATGAGGTAGCATCGCCCTGTGGTCTTGATTTGCTTCTTCCTAATAACTAATGATGTTGAGCATCTTTTCTTGCACTTACTGGCCATTCGTACATCTTCTTTTGAGAAGTGCCTATTCAAATCCTTTGCCCATTTTAAAATGGGGTTAATAACCCTTATTTTATTTGAGTTTTAAGTGTTCCTTACATATTCTGGATATGAGTCCCTTATCAGATACAGCAGGTCCCATTTACCTGGTGTCCTGGTTTCCACAGTTTCAGTTACCTGTGGTCAGCCATGGCTTGAAAATACGACATGGAACTGTGCATTGTTCTGAGTAGCACAGTGAGACCTTGCTCCAGCCCAAGCTATCCCTCCCAGCTGTGAACCATCCCTTTGTCCACTGTATCCACACTGTATAGACTGCTCCTTCCTTAGTCGTTACACTGTCTGCTCCTGACATCCAGCCATTGCTCATCATGGCTTGGTGATCCTCCTTCCGATCATTCATCGGAAGGTCAACAGCATCCTAAGACAATGTCACAATGCCTGCGTGATTCACCTCACCTCACCTCACCTCCTCCCGGAGGCAATTCCGTCATCTCACATGATGACAACAAAGAGGGGTGAGAACAGTACAATAAGGTATTTAGAGGGGTGAGTACAGTACATTAAGGTATTGAGAGAGAGAGCGATAGAGAGGTCACATTCACATAAGTCTTATTACGGCATATTTTTATCATTGTTCAATTTTATTATAGTTATCCTTGATAATCTCTTCCTGTGCCTAATTTATAAATTAAACTTTATCACAGGTATACATATATGGGAAAAAACAGTATATACAGTGTTTGGTAATCTCTGTGGTCTCAGCCATCTACTGGGGGCCTTGAGATGTATTGCCTGCAGATAAGAGGGGATTACTCTAGAAGATTTCCTAATATTTTCTCCTTTTATGTGGGTTATCTTTGCACTTTCTTAATGGCATTGGTTGTAGCACAGAAGTTTTTAATTTTAGTGAAGTGTCATTTATCTCTCTTTTCTTTTATCACTTGTGCTTTTGGTGCCATATTGAAGAAATCATTGCCAAACTCAGGCCATAAGGATTTCCTCCTATGTTTTCTTCTAAGAGTGGTTTTGTATGAATCCATTAATATGCTGTATTACATTGATTGGCTTTTGGATATCAAATCAACCTTGTGTTCCTGGGATAAATCTCATCTGGTTTTGCACATAATTCTTTTTATATGTTGCTGGATTTGATTTGCTAGTATTTTGTGGAGGATTTTTGCATTTATATTCTTAAGGATATTGGTCTGTGGTTTTCTTGTAATGCCTTTCATCTCAAAGTATTTTCTAATTTCCGTTGTGATTTCTTCTTTGATCTGTTGGTTATATAACAGTGTGTTGTTTATTTTACACATTTTGGTGAATTTCTCAAATTTCCTTCTGTTATTGATTTCTAACTTAATTCCATTGTGGTTATGGAGCCCACTTTGTATGATTTCAGTCCTTTGAAATTTATTGAGACTTTCTCTGTGGCCCAACATGTGGTTCTTCCTGGAGCAAGCTCCAGCACACTTGAGAAGTGTGTGTGCTCTGCGGTTGCTGGGTGGAGTGCTCTGCGGATGTGGTTGCTGGGTGGAGTGTTCTGCAGATGCGGTTGCTGGGTGGAGTGCTCTGCGGTTGCTGGGTGGAGTGCTCTGCGGATGCGGTTGCTGGGTGGAGTGCTCTGCGGATGCGGTTGCTGGGTGGAGTGCTCTGCGGATGCGGTTGCTGGGTGGAGTGCTCTGCGGATGCGGTTGCTGGGTGGAGTGCTCTGCGGATGCGGTTGCTGGGTGGAGTGCTCTGCGGATGCGGTTGCTGGGTGGAGTGCTCTGCGGATGCGGTTGCTGGGTGGAGTGCTCTGCGGATGCGGTTGCTGGGTGGAGTGCTCTGCGGATGCGGTTGCTGGGTGGAGTGCTCTGCGGATGCGGTTGCTGGGTGGAGTGCTCTGCGGATGCGGTTGCTGGGTGGAGTGCTCTGCGGATGCGGTTGCTGGGTGGAGTGCTCTGCGGATGCGGTTGCTGGGTGGAGTGCTCTGCGGATGCGGTTGCTGGGTGGAGTGCTCTGCGGATGCGGTTGCTGGGTGGAGTGCTCTGCGGATGCGGTTGCTGGGTGGAGTGCTCTGCGGATGCGGTTGCTGGGTGGAGTGCTCTGCGGATGCGGTTGCTGGGTGGAGTGCTCTGCGGATGCGGTTGCTGGGTGGAGTGCTCTGCGGATGCGGTTGCTGGGTGGAGTGCTCTGCGGATGCGGTTGCTGGGTGGAGTGCTCTGCGGATGCGGTTGCTGGGTGGAGTGCTCTGCGGTTGCTGGGTGGAGTGCTCTGCGGTTGCTGGGTGGAGTGCTCTGCGGATGCGGTTGCTGGGTGGAGTGCTCTGCGGATGCGGTTGCTGGGTGGAGTGCTCTGCGGATGCGGTTGCTGGGTGGAGTGCTCTGCGGATGCGGTTGCTGGGTGGAGTGCTCTGCGGTTGCTGGGTGGAGTGCTCTGCGGTTGCTGGGTGGAGTGCTCTGCAGATGCGGTTGCTGGATGGACTGCTCTGTGGTTGCTGGGTGGAGTGCTCTGCGGTTGCTGGGTGGAGTGCTCTGCAGATGCGGTTGCTGGGTGGAGTGCTCTGCGGTTGCTGGGTGGAGTGCTCTGCAGATGCGGTTGCTGGGTGGACTGCTCTGTGGTTGCTGGGTGGAGTGCTCTGCGGATGCAGTTGCTGGGTGGAGTGCTCTGCGGTTGCTGGGTGGAGTG
Organism: Homo sapiens; assembly: GCF_000001405.40. Classification (NCBI taxonomy): domain Eukaryota; kingdom Metazoa; phylum Chordata; class Mammalia; order Primates; family Hominidae; genus Homo; species Homo sapiens. The sequence goes on along the minus strand of NT_187653.1, from coordinate 95,302 downwards.
CTCTGCGGATGCGGTTGCTGGGTGGAGTGCTCTGCGGTTGCGGGGTGGCGTGCTCTGTGGTTGCTGGTGGCGTGCTCTCATGCTCTGCAGATGCCGGCCAACTGATCCAATCTGACATTTCTTTGTTGATCTTTTGCCTACTTGTTCTACTCATAACGAAAGTGTGTTATTGAAGTCCCCAGTTTGTTGCTGAACCGTAGTCTTGCCTTTTTCCTCAGACTTAGAATCTGTGTCGAAACTTCTTGATGGGAAACATGTGATTGGCTCTCAGGTCTCAGCCTCTGCTCTCCCCATTACATGCCTGGAACATCCTGAGGGAGCTCAGAGCAGACAAGGCCCCGGCTTCACGCTTCAGATATGCTTCCATTACTCCCACCTTATAAATGAGGAACTGAAGGGCAGAGGGGTCCAGAGCACTGCTGAGGACAGCTGGCTGGCTCAGAGCTGGACTCGAACCTAAGGCAGCTCAGTCTCAAATTTATGCCCAGCGCCATGTTGGTGCATGCCCTCCTGGGGTAGCCAGAGAGTGTCATGATTACACCAGAGATGAAGTAGTCGGAATATGGACCCACTCCTAAGCTGCTGTGTGGGCTGCTGTGTGGGGAGTTCCAGAAGCGCACACACCAGTGGAAAAATTAAATGTGGATTTTTATGGTATCCCATCTGGCTTCTGCCACCTCCCAGGCGTGGATCTGCTCACAGCCAAGTGACCTCCCATCTGCAGGCTTCTCCCAACGCGGCTCAGTGGTGCCTCATCTGGACCACGAGTCCTCTCCACCCCAGGTGCGCTTCCACGGATGCCCTTGGACTCTCCTGCCTGGTCTTCCCACCGCTCACCCTGGCCTCTCTCCAAAATCCCCCATGGCTGCCTTTCTCTATCATCTGGCCTCAAAACCTCAGTCATTCATTCAAAGCCCTTTGTAATCCAGACCTGACTTGGGTCACAAATCAGCAAGTGTATCCATGACACCAGTGACCCTCAGGCCCCACTCTGTGGCTTTGGTGAGTGACAGATGACTGTTGAGTGACTAAGCAATGGTGCAATTGAAATTCCAGGGAATGAGACCCATTTGGAATTTCCTGAAGAAACAAACCCCCAGGCACAGGAAAGAGGCATCCGTGCATGTTTGGCTCCCTTTTGCCTTGAAATCCACGGAGCTCCGAGGCTCTTTCCGGCATGCTGGCTGTACACAGGGCCTTTCAAGGGCAAGGAGTCCTCAGCTTTCTGGGTCTCCTTAATGAGCCTGAGGCCTGCTGCCTGCAAGTGCGGCCCCTCTGTGCTTTTGCTGGCTGTTTGTGAAGTCAGCCCTGCCTTTAATAGGCCTGCTTGCAATTAACATGGAATATAATACTGAAGAAAATGCTGTAAAGCACTTGGCCTCTCAGGAGCATAACACTAAATGTTGATGCTCAAAGGCACTAAACAACGTGCATAATTAGGCAAATAACTCTCCCCTAGTTTCCAATGCAGAGAAAGGAGGGAAGTTAAGGAGGGTGTGTGTTCAAGCCTGTTGGATCAGTGATGCTAGGGAGAGGCCTGGAGCTGGCTTCCTAGGGCCCAGGGTCCCGTGAATGACTGGGGTGAAGCAGCCTTGCCATGTGCCTTTGGAACACCCTCAGGGAAGGGTCACAGGGAAAGGGCACACCTAGGTTCCTCAGGCAGGTGCAGCTTACAGCTTTCCAGGCTGATCTCTATCCCTGGTCAGAAGGGAATGGCAGACCCAGAGAGGAAACAGACCTGCCCAGGCCCGCGGAGATGGAAGAGACTCGATTCTCCTGCAGATGAGGCTTGAATCTGTTGGGTCCTTTGGGAAAGTAGGTCTGGAGAACTTCAGGGTGCAAACAGGACGCAACCATGCAGAGTTACAGTTTTTCTCATAACAGGGTGTTGGATTTTCTCAAGTCCTTTTTCTCTATCAATTGAGACAGTCGTGTAGTTTTTGTCCTTCATTATGACAGTGTGGCAGATTATCTTGATTGATGTTCATATTTTGAGCCATCCTTCCATTCCAGGAGTAAATCCCACTTGGTCAGGGAGTATAATCCTTTAATGTGCTACGGAATACAGTTTGCTAGTATTTTGTTGGGGATTTGGCATCAGCAGTTATCGGGAAAATCGGTCTGTAGTTTTCTTTTCCTGTAGCTTTCTTGTCTGGGCTTGGTATCAGGATAATGCTGGCCTTATACATTGAGGTTGGAAGTGTTCCTCTTGTTTAGCTTTTCAGAAGAATGTGAGGAGGATTGCTGTTAATTATTTAAATCCTTGGTAGAATTCTCCGGTAAAGCCATCTGGTCCTGGGCTTTTCTTTTTTGGGAGATTTTTGATGACTAATTCAATCTTTTACTAGTTATAGGTCTTTTCAGATAATTATTTGTTCATGATTCAATCTTGGTAGGTTGTATATTTCTAGGAATTTTTCAATTTCTTCCAGATTACCCAATTTGTTGGTATATAGCCATTGTTCATGACATTCTCTTACAATATTTTTTATTTATGTGGCATCAGTTGTAAGGGGCCTCTTTCATTTCTGATTTAATTGAGTCTTCCCTCTTTTTTTCTTAGCTAATCTAGCTAAGAGTTTCTGTTAATTTTGTTGATCTTTTCAAAAATCCAGCTCTTCAGTTTGTTGATTTTTCTATTGTTTTCTATTATTGTGTTTATCTCTGTTCTAATCATTACCATTTCCTTCTTTCTGCTAATTCATGTTTAACTTGTTCTTCTTTTTCTAGTTCCTTGAGATGTAAAGTTAGGTTGTTTATTTGAGATCCATCTTCTTTTTAAATGTAAGTTTTCACCTCTATGAATTTCCCTCTTAATACTGCTCTCATTGCATCCTATAAGTTTTGGTATGTTGCGTTTTTGTTTTCATTTGTCTTGAGATATTCTCTATTTTTCCCTGTGGTATCTTCCTTGATCCTTTGGTTTCTTAAGAGTCTGTTTTTAAATATTCACTAATTGTGAAGTTTCCCGTTTTCCTTCTGCTGTTGATTTCTAGTTTCATTCCTTTGTGATCAGAACATATATTTTCTATAATTTCAAACTCTTACATTTGTTAAGACTTGTTTCGTGGCCGATCATATGGTCTCTCTTGGAAGATATTCCACGTGCCCTTGGGAAGAATGTATTATATATTCTGCTGTTGTTGTGTAGAGTGTTCTATATACGTCCGTTAGGTCCAATTGGTCTATAGTGCTGTTCAAGTCCTTTGCTTCCTTACTGGTCTTCTATCTGTTTCTTCTATCCATTGTTGAAAGGCGAGTATTGAGGTCTCTTACCATTGTTGTGTTCCTGTTTATTTCTTGTAGACAGCATATAGTTGGATCTTCTTTTTTTTTTTCTTTTCATTTTTAATCAACTCAATCTGTCTTTTGATTAGGGAGTTTAATTAATTTACATTTGAAGAAATTACTGGTAAGGAAGACTTACTACTGCCAATTTGTTAATTGTTTACTGTATGTTTTATGGCTATTTTGTCTCCATTTTTCCTCCTTACTCCTTTCCTTTGTACTTTCAAAATTTTTTATAGGCCAGGTGTGGTGGCTCACACCTGTAATCCCAGCACTTTGGGAGGCTGAGGCAGGCAGATCACGAGGTCAGGAGTTTGAGACCAGCCTGACCAACATGGTGAAAACCCATCTCTACTAAAAATACAAAAATTAGCCGGGCATGGTGGTGCACACCTGTAATCCCAGCTACTCAGGAGGCTGAGGCAGGAGAATCACTTGAACCTGGGAAGCAGAGGTTGCAGTGAGCCGAGATTGCACCACTGCGCTCCAGCCTGGGTGACAGAGCAAGACTCTGTCTCAAAAAAAAAAAAAAATTATAGTGACATGCTTTGATTTCTTATTTCCTTTTGTATGTCTTCTATAAATATTTTCTTTATATTCACCTTGGGATTACATAAAATATCTTAAAGTTATAATGATCCATTTTAAACTGATAGCAGTTTAACCTCAATTGCACTCAAAAACTGTACTCTTTTACACCTTCACTCCCCTACACTTGGCTATTGACGTCGCAAATTATCTCTTTTATATTGTGTAACCATTAACAGAGTTCTATGATTATTTTTAAATGTTTTCATCTTTTAAATTCTATACAAGAATTAAAAGTGATTTATATACTAACATTATGATAGTACAGGATTCTACATTTGTCTATATATTTACCTTTTCTAGAGAGTTTCATATTTTCATGTAGTTTGGGATTGCTGTCTAGTGTCCTTTTATTTCAACTCGAAGAACTCCTTTTAGCATTTCTTGTAGGAAATATCTCGTGGTGTTGAATTCTCTCAGCTTTTGTTTATTTGGGATGATTTTTGAAGGATAATTTTGCTGGATATAGTGTTCTTGGCTGACTGTTTTTACTCTGATAGCACTTTGAATATATCATTCTACTCCCTTCTGGCCTACAAAGTTTCTGCTCAGAAACCCACTTATAATCTTATGGGAGCTCCCTTGCACTGATGAGTTGCTTTTCTCTTGCTGTTTTCAAGATTCTTATTTTGTCTTTGACTTCTGACAGTTTGATGATAATGGGTCTCTTTGGATTTATTCTAGTTGAATTTCTTGAACTCTTATGTCCATTCTTTTGCTCAAATTTGGGAAGTTTTCAGCCATGATTTCTTCAAATAGGCCTTCACCTCTTTCTCTCTCTATTCTGGAACTCCCATAATGTGTGCACAGGCATATCTTTTATTATTGTGCTTTGCTTTATTGCACTTCACAGACATTGTGGGTTTTTTTGTTTGTTTGTTTTTTTGAGATGAGGTCTTGCTCTGTCTCCCAGGCTGGCGTGCAGTGGCATGATCTTGGCTCACTGTAACCTCCACCTACCAGGCTCCGGAAATCCTCCCACCTCAGCCTCCCAAGTAGCTGGGACTGCAGGTGTGCACCACCACGCTTGGCTGATTTTTTTTTATTTTTTGTAGAGACAGTGTTTTGCCATGTTGCCCAGGCCGGTCTCAAACTCCCGGACTCACACAATCTGCCTGCCTCGGCCTCCCAAAGTGCTGGGATTACAGGCATGAGCCACCGTGCACAACTGACATTGTGTTTTTGTTTTGCAAATGGAAAGTCTGCGGCAACTCTGCATCCAGCAAGTCCACCAGTGCCATTTTTCCAACAGCATGTGCTCACTTCTTGTCTCTGTGTCACATTTTAGTACAATTTATAATAATAATTTTAATTTTCTTTATTGTTATATATGTTATAGTGACCTGTGATTGGTGATCTTTAATGTTACTATTACAATTGTTTTGGAGTGCCATGCGCCTTGCCCATACCATATCAGATGGTGAACTGAATCGATAAATGTTATGTATGTTCTGACTGCTCCACCAGCTGGCCATTCCTTCACCTTTCTCCCTCTCCTTGAGCCTCCCTATTACCTGAGACACAATAATATTGAAATTAGGTTAATAGCCCTACAATGACCTAAGTGTTCAAGTGAAAGCAAGAGTCACACATCTCTCACTTTAGGTCAAAAGCTGGAAGTGACGTTAGTGAGCTTAGTGAGGAAGGTGTGTCAATAACCAAGATAGGCTGAAAGCTAGGCCTCTTGCTCCAAGTAGTTAGCCATGTTATAAATGCAAAGGAAAAGTTATTTAAGAAAATTAAAAGTGCTCTTCTAGTGGACACATAAATAAGAAAGTAAAACAGCCTTGTTGCTGATACGAAGATAGTTGTAGTGGTCTGTGTAGAAGATCTAATCAACCACAATATTCCATTAAGCCAAAGCCCAATCCAGAGCAAGGTCTTAACGCTCTTCAATTCTGTGAAGGCTGAGAGAGGTAAGGAAACCACAGGAGAAAAGTTTGAAGTTAGCTGTTCATGATGCTTAAGAAAAGAAGCCATTTCCATAACATAAAAGCACAAGGTGAAGCAGCAAATGCTAATGTAGAGGCTTCAGCAAGTTCTCCGGAAGATCTAGCTGAGCTGCTTGATGAAGGCGGCTACACTAAACAACAGATTTGCAATGTAGATGAAACAGCATTCTATTGAAATAAGATGCCATCTCGAACTTTTAGAGCTGAAGAGGAGACGTTAATACCTGGCATCAATTCTGCAAAGGACAGACTGACTGTCTTGTTAATTACTAACGCAGTTGGTGATTTTAAGTCGAAGCCAATGCTTATTTACCATATTGAACATTCTAAGGCCCTTAAGAATTATGCCGCATCTACTCTGTTTGCACTCTATAAATGGCACATAAAGCTTTGATGACAGCACATTTGTTATAGCACGGTTTACTGAATATTTTAAGCCCCCTGTTGAGAACTATGCACAGGAAAAAAATGTCTTTCAAAATATTACTGGTTATTTATAATGCAGCTGGTCACCCAAGAGCTCTGATGAAGATGTACTAAATTAATATTGTTTTCATGCCTGCTAACACAATATCCATTTGCAGCCCATAGATCAAGGAGTAATTTTGACTTTCATCTTATTATTTAAGAAGTACATTTCTGGCTGGGCACAGTGGCTCACGCCTGTAATCCCAGCACTTTGGGAGGCCGAGGCGGGTGGATCACGAGGTCAGGAGATCGAGACCATCCTGGCTCACACGGTGAAACCCCGTCTCTACTAAAAATACAAAATATTAGCCGGGCGTGATGGCGGGCGCCTGTAGTCCCAGCTACTCGGGAGGCTGAGGCAGGAGAATGGCGTGAACCCAGGAGGCAGAGCTTGCAGTGAGTGGAGATTGCTCCACTGCACTCCAGCCTGGGTGACAGAGCAAGACTCCGTCTCAAAAAAAAAGAAAGAAATACATTTCTTAAGGCTATAGCTGCCGTAGATAGTGATTGCTCTGCTGGATCCGAACAAAGCGAATGGAATGCCTTCTGGAAGTAGTTCACCACTCTACATGCCATTAAGAACGTTCCTGTTTCATGGGAGGAGGCAAAATATCAACATGAACAGGAGTCTGCAGGGATTTAATCCCAGCCCTCACAGGTGACTCTGAGTGGTTCAAGACTTTAATGGAGGCAGGAACTGCAGATGGTGGAAACGGTGAGACAACTGGAATGAGAAGAGGAGCCTGACGATGTGGCTGAATTGCTGCAATCTCAGGGTAAAACTTTAATGAATGAGGAGTTTCTCCTTACGAATGAGCAAAGAAAGTTGTTTTTTGAGATGGAATCTACTCCTGGTAGAGACAAACATTCTTGAAGTGACAACAAGGTATTCAGAATATTACATAAAGCAGCAGCAGGGTTTGAGAGGACTGGCTCCAAATTTGAAAGAGGTTCTACTGTGAGTAAAATGCTGTGAAACGACATTACATACCGCAGATAAGTCTTTTGTGAAGGAAAGAGTCCATTGAAGAGCAAAATTCATTGTTGTCTTAAGAAATTGTCACGGTTACCCCAGTCTTCAGCAACTGCCACGCTGATCAGTTAGCAGACATCAACACTGAGGTAAGAGCCCCCATCATGAAAAAATTATGACTTGTTGAAGGCTTAGATGATCATTAGCATTTTTAGCCAAAGAAAGTATTTTCATTAAGGTATATACTTTTTTATACATAATGCTATTGCACAATTAACAGGCTACAGTATAGTATAATCATTACTTTTATATGCGCCGGGAAACCAAAATATTTTGTGACTCACCTTGCTGTGGTATTCACATTATGGCAGTGGCCTGGGATCAAACCCACAGCGTCTCTGGGGTAAAAAACCTCCATTGTTCTGCCTGATGTTTTCCCGTAAGTCTCACAGGCTCTCATTACTTTCTTTATGCTTTTTTTCCCTCCTCTCACTCAATAATTTCAGATAATTTTTCTTCAAATTTGATGGTTCTTTCTCCATGATCAAGTCTGCTGTTGAACTCCTCTATTGATCTTAAAATTCAGTTATTCTTCAGTTTCCGAATTTCTGTTTTGTTCAGTTTTTATAATTTCTATCTCTGTTGTTATCTCATTTTGTTCATAAGTCGTATTCTGAATTCGTTCAGTTGTCTCTGTTCTTGTTTAGCTCACTGGGCATCTTTAAGAAGGTTACCTTGAATGATCAGTTAATTCATCTCTGTGTCTTTACGGTCATTTCCTGAGATATATTTTGTTCCTTTGACTGGGCCTTGGTTTCCTGTTTCTTTGTATGCCTTGTGACCTTGTATTGATATTTGGGCATTTCAAATACATTGTGCTTCCCGCAGTCTTTGTTAACTTGCTTTGTACTTTCACTAATCAGCCCAGGTAGAGATTCTGGAACTTCTCAGCCTTTTCTGGGGATGCATCTTCTTTGGGCTTGTGTAAGTAGTTTCCCAGTTAGAGTTTTGCCCATGTTTTTCAGGAGGCCTCTGTCCTCTGGTGTCTGTGGCTCCGCAGGATCCTTTGTGCTGAGCGAAGATGCTCGTCTTTGCTCTCAGCAGCCCCTTACCTGACATTCAAGCTCTGCAAGTTTCCCTCAGTGCTCTGAGTCAGGTGAGGCAGATACCAGTCCCATGGGCAGCCCCCTGAAAAGCGAGAACATTGGATGCATGTTCCACTCTTCACTCTCCCTCTCTAGAGAGCAGCCAAGCATTGAGGGCATTGAGGGCTCCTATCATGCCAGGGAGCAGTAGGCACCAGGGCACAAAATGCTGTGACTTTTTTTCTTATCTGCTCAGATGTGGCCCTTCTGGGCTTTGCACTCACAGGGGGTGCTGCAACCTCCTAATCGGATTCTGGGGTTCTCACACTGGCTGTTCTGTCCATAGATTATTGCTAACCAGTGTCTCGGTGGGGGAACGAGGACTCCCTGGGGCTTCCTAGTTCTCCATCTTGCTGGTGTCCCTGTATTTAATTTGTTCTTAGATTATCTATGTTGATTTATAAATTCTAGCTCATTCATTTTAATATTCCATTTAATTAGACCGTATACCATGATTTAGGCGTCTATTCTGTGGAGGAATCCACATTCATAATGACAGGTTTTCATGTTTGCTGCATTCTGGGTGTGAGATCGTAACATTCACATAACAAGGCGAAGGAATCTCCAGGTCACACTGAGTGAAGGACAGACCAAGATGGGTCCTAGGCAGCTGGATTTCCTACTTTTAAGTGGCTGAGCTGTCAGAAACCTAGGGCCTAGCAGCGGTGTTCCTCCAGGAAAGTGGGAGGAGAAATAGCCGCTGGACTAGGTGAGAACCGCGTCACGTTTGAGAAGCGCTGATGGCTTCCTGCAGGACGGGAACGGACTGTGTTCCTTTAGCTCGCACGGCTCCTCTCCTGAGTGTGAATTTCGGTGCCTGTTGCTCCTTTACTATAAATCAACCTTGTGTTTTAAGGCAGCCGTCCCCAACCATTTTGGTACCAGTTTCATGGGAGACAATTTTCCCACGTACTGTGGGATGAGGGTGGGGTTGGGGGGATGGTTTTGGGATGAAACTGTTCCACCTCGTATGCTCAGGCATTAGTTAGATTCTCATAAGGAGCACGCAACCTGGATCCCTCTCACACGCACAGCTCACGACAGGGTTCATGCTCCTATGAGATCGAATGCCGCCGCCGATCCGACGGGAGGCTGTGCGGCCCAGTTCCTGACAGGCCACGGACCAGTACCTGTCCACACTTGGGGTTGGGCACCCCTGTTTAAAGGTACCTTGTTAATCTGCCCAGTCTAGTCCCAGAGAACGCCAAAGGCATGTGTTCATGCCAAATTGTGTGTGTTCATACCTGGAGACGTGCCGTGGACACCCCATCCCTGGAGGCAGGGATCAGAATCCTCTGATCTACGGGATGCTTCCAGCAGTCTGAGGGGCGCAGAGCTGGCAGTGTTGCGTTCGTGAGGAGCCAGGCCAGCACTGGCCCAGAGCAGCGATGTTCCTGCCAGTTCCCAGGGAATGAGAAGGAGTGAGGGCACAGGATCCTGACCACCCCCGCCGTGCCTGGTGTGGGTGGCCCTTCAGGAGGCAGCCCGCTCTGCAGGGTGCTCGTACCCTGCTGTCCTAGGCATGTCCTGCCCTCAGAGTCCCAGGTTACTGGATGATAAAATCTGTAGTTACTGCATATATTTTCTTGCAGTTCTAACGTACCCTTTCCTTCTTACTATCAGATTTTAAATGTAAAAATTAATTCAAGTGAAGACAGTACCTCTGTTTTCTCATCGAGTTCCAAGAAATGAACCGAGGTGGATTTTCCTGTTCTCCCCGGAAGACCAAGAACCTTACGAGGGCCCTGGCTTTCTTCCCTTCTCTTTTCTTTCTTTCTCTTTTATTTTCTTATTTTTGTGCTTTTCTTTCAAGCCCAGTTTCATGATTTAAGACCTCAGTGCTTTCAGGTTCCAAAAATCTGGGCTGGTTCCTTGCTGAACCAACAGGGGTGTCCAGCCAGGTTCCTTCTCTTGGGGCCCACATAATCCCATTGTATGGTCCTGGCAGGTGGCCAGACACTTTTCCTGCCCTGGGGTCTGCTAGTGAGAGGATCCTCAATACAATTAATTCCCTAATCTCTTCATTCCAGCACTTTCCGTCTACGTTATTGAAAGATGGGCATTCAAGATGCTCGTTTTTAATGACTTGCTATTTTCACCCACTTGGTCACAGCTCTGTTGGGTTTTATTGTCAGCGGGTAAAACACCTGCCTCTGGGCTGTGCAGATAAACTATAGAAAACTGCGTGCTCCCCCTCCCTCATCCAGCAATGAGCCCAGGCAGGCAGGGGAATTAACATGCACAACTTAATTGGATTTTCATCGTGTCCTGCTGGCTGACAGAGGAGCTCCCCTCTCTTCATGATTGCATTCAAATGCCAGGTTTAATTCTAAGACTGCAGCTTGGAAGGTGAAAGGCATTTCGCAGTAAACAGTTCATTAAGAGACACTTCCAGCCTCTCCGCCTCCTCTGAGTGTGGAGAGGGGCTTTCTGTGGAAGGGGGTTTTGATTTAATTGAGAACTCAGTGAATGCCTGGGACCGTGCTGTGGGCCCAGGACCGTTGCCACAGACGTACCGTTGCTCCCAGGACCATTGCCACAGACGCACTGTTGCTCTGCCCCATTTGCACTGGGGTTTCCGAGTGCAGCCAGTTCAGATGCCCAGGACCCAGGAACCCTCCCCAGTGACTCACTCCACGGCCACCCTGGGCCGCCACCCTGCACACCGGGTGCTGTTGCCCCACTGAGAGAGGTGGGATCAGAGGCTGGGAGATTCATGAACATGACTAGGGTCACCTGGCCGAAGTGGTGGAGCTGCACTCCGCTCTGAGGGTGGCTGATGGCCAGGGCCCTTCTGAATGAATGAATGAACTAGTAGCCACAAATGGGGACTCTCCTGCCTGAAGTGATGGTTGGGGTGAGCCCAGGGCTGGAGGTGGGGCGTGCCTGGGAGGACAGAAGAGTTAGGAGCAGGGAAGGTGGGAGCCACAGTCCCTGATGTGCATCCGAACCTGCAGGGTCCTGGCAGAGAATGGGGTGAGGCAGGCACCACATCTGCACGAGACAGGAGCCACCTGCCGACGTTCTGTCCCCAGACCTGGTGCCCCTGCTCCTGACCCTACAACTGAGGTTTTGGACCCAAAGCCTCAGAACTGAACTCCAGCTTAGGATACGGAATCTGCCTCCAAAAGGAAAAGAGCACAGCTCTGGGAGCACACACCCCCATCCCCTCTGCAGACTCCACAGGCTGAGGCCGCCCTCCCGCCATCTGCACTCCAGTGCCCACCCTCACCTGCTGTTCTCCACACAAAATGTGAGGGCAGGTCTCCCTATGCTCAGGGGGTTGGGCCTCATAGGGCCTGGAGAAGCACATCTTTATCCTCACAGCACCAAGTCAGCCCATCACACAACCACAGACACACAGACACATACACACACACACACAGGCACACACATACAGACATGCAGACACTCATACACATGCACAAACCTATACCTGCTCATGTACCACACACACCCAGAGACACATACACTCATGTACACACAGGCACCTACATACAGACATGTAGACACGTACTTATACACAGACACATACACACACATGCAGAGACACACGTGCACACATACATGCATGTATGTGCACATATAGACACGGACATGCACAGGTACAGCTACATATGCATATGAAGGCATGTGCACATGTACATGCAGAAACACACGCACACACATACAGACATGCATGTGCACACACATACACATATGAACACACGTGCACATGCACACGGGCACACATGTATAGAGATGCATGTGCACACAGAGATGCATATAGACATACAGGCACACATACAGAGACACACATGCACACACAGCTATACAGATATACACAGGCACACATGCACACACACGTAGACACACGTGTGCACATGCAGACACAGAAAGACACATACACATGCTTGAATGTCCACACAGACACACATATGGAGACACATACAGTCACACCCATAGCGAAGCACACACGTGCACACCCACTTCAGTTTGGTGCCCGCATTTCCTGCCCTGCCCTTTTCTCTGAAAGGAGAACAGAAAATCCCAAAGCCTGGTACTGACAGCATTTAGCTAATTGTGCAAACTGCACCCTCACCTGGAGCAAAGACTTCTCTGAGTTTTATCCTCAGATTAGAATGGATTAAAGTTGTTCCATGCTGAATTCATCCTGGAGTTTCACAACTCCTGGGGCAGGCAGCTGGGCTGGGCCTCACTCGTCCTTCCTTGGGGCCCTGCTGCCCTGTTCTCCTGTGGAGTTTCCCTTCCCGCAAGAACAGAGCAATCACTGGGTGTGGGAAAATGATTTTCCATATGGAAAAAGAAATAAGATCCCTGTTTCCCAACATACACAAAGCCCCACATGGGGCAAGAACTTATGTAAGAGTTTTCCTTTAAAAGTTTGTCTGGAAAATGTAGGTGGACAATTTATGACCTTGGCTGTAGGGAAGGATTTCTTAAATACATTGTAAGAAGCCCTGGCTATAAAATAGGAGTCTGATAAAATGTGAGTACATTTAAAAAACTATTGGTCAAAAATAACCTCAAAGAAAATGAAAGAGAAGCTAAAAATGAGAGGATACTCACCGGGGACATAACTAACGAAGGGTAGGCCTCAGGAATGTGTAAGGAATTTCTATAAATCAGTAAGAATGAGAAAAAGACCCCGAGACATGAAGGGGCATCTCCCTCAGGAGAAGCAGATGTGAAGCAGTGTTTGCAGACTTGGACATGTGGAGATCAAGACCCAGTGAAATGCCATCTGGCTCACTTGTTGGCCAGCACTGGCCGGGGGTGAGAGGCCTGCGTGGCCGCCCAGCCTCACAGGCCTTTCCCAGTGCTCTTGGGCCTTGGGCACAAAGGGTTTTGGAGGCCTCCTGTCCTGTGAGAAAAGGGCTGCCCAGGGCCAGTCAGCAGGCTGTGTGCAGGCCCAGAGAGACCCTGCCTGGGACCCTGCCTGCTTGTGGGCTCCTTCTCTGTCCTCAGCTACCCTTCCTGGGCAGTGGCCCAGCTGGAGACCAGCAGGTGGGTGAGTCACAGCTGTGGGTCTGAGCTGTGGGCGCCTGTGCTCCCCAACTGTGGGGGCAGAGAGGGCATGAGGAAGTGGTTCTGTGAGTCAGAGACCCCTGGGGGACGTGTTTTCCAGAACACTGACCTCCCCATGGCCCTGACAGAAGTGGGGCTGTGGCTTCTGTCCTGTGAGCCTTAGACACATGCAGACAGACACATAGAAACACATGGACATGCACACAGAAGCACATGTACATATGCATAGAGACACACACTGACATGGAGACACATATGTAGACACGCATATACACATGCAGACAGACACACAGGGACATAGACACACACAGACACACGGACACACACATATCTACACCCAGATGTACATGTGCAGACACGCTCACACCTACAGACACACGTGGACATAGACACACATGGCCTTGGGGAGGGCGTGAGACGAGTGCTACTGGCTGCTCACCCGCAGCTCCCTCCCTACCACACAGAGATGCTGTCAGATCAGGGCCACCTTGGGCCCTGCAGGCTCACAGAGCAGTGGAAAGGGAGGGGTCCCTGATGGGGTCTTCCTAGGAGAGGAGCCTGCTGGGTTGGGTTTGCTTCTGAACCCTAAAACCCAATATGGGGACCCTCCATGACTCCACGTAAGAATTAGGAGAAGCAGGTGAGACACAGGGCCCAAGAGAGTTTGCAAAACCTGGGAACGGTGAGAAGCTGGAGCTGAGGCCATGACCTGGGCTCGGCAGCAGGAGGGGGAGCGGCCTTCGGGGAGGGCAGGGCTGCAGCCGCGGAGGTGGGGGCCACACCCAGGCTGGGTTTTCTCTTTACGGCCATGGCGCCAGAGGGATTTGGGGATTGAGATTTGCCTGGTGCCTGATGGAGAGTGGATGGGAGAGGGTGCCTGGAGGCCATGAGGCCGGCCCGGACCCTGGCGTTTCCAATGCTGAGCTGGTCCGCCCTTGAGGCCAGGGAATGCTGTGGTAGGAGGTTGATGGCCCTGGAGATGTCCACATCAGAATCCTTGGGATCTGTGCAGATGTGGATAAATTAAGGGCTTGGGGATGGGGAGAGCATCCTGCAGTATTGAGTGAGGCCGGGGCAATGACATGTCCCGAGAGGGATCTGACGGCAGGGGGAGCCCACGTGACTAGGAAGGCAGCCGCTGGAGGGTCCAGGAACACTGGCTGAACGTGGGGGCCTCTAGGAGTGGAACAGGGGACGCTGCTGGAGCCTCCAGGAGGCCAGGCCTGGCTGATACCTTGGTTTTAGCCCAGTGAGGCCTGTTCCAGACCGCTCACCTCCAGAGCTGGGAGAGGGCGAAGGCATTGTTTTGAGCAAAGCCCGTTATAATGGCAGCAGGGGACTGATGGGAAGCTTCGTGACTTGGATGGGCAGTGACTTCTGGAGGGAGCTGTTGTCTACCCTCTGCCCCCGTTAGACACCTGCGGTACCCTCTCCCCCACCAGCGACAGGCGGGCTCAGATGCTGGGGTCTGTGTGCCCCAGGCACGGGCCACACATCCTGTTCTGGGTGTCAGTGCCGTCCATGGCCACCACTCCATCAGCACGAAAGCAACTAGGAGCTGAGTCTCCATCCGACTGGGGCCTGTGTTCCCTGACATCTTCCACACCCCAGGCAGACACGGCCCAGACAGCCACCTGCATCCTCTGTCACCTTCTCTCCCCACCATTGGTGGCCTGATGGCCCTGGGGCAGGTGGGTCACCTGGTGGGTGGCTGAGCACTCCCTCGAGGTCCCAAGGCCGATGCTGCACTGAGCCTGCAGCTCTTGCCATGGGCACTGGTGGGTCCCAAGTAACAGAGCAGAATCCCCAGGCAGCACATGGCTCTGGGCACTGGGGAAAAGGAAGGACCTGAGTGGTCACGCTGAGGAATCATCACTGTCCTCAGCAGAGCAGCGGAGGGACCTTTTGAAGTGCCCGCTGGCTGGAGCATCCCCAGTGGGGCCCCATCAGGATGCAGCCTAGAGGAAGCATCTCCCAGCACCCGTGTTGTGGGGGACCCTGTTCTTCCTCAGGTCCTGCTCAAAACTCTGCTCCAGGCACACCCCATTCAAACCCCCTGATAGAAATTTGTCTGGGCCTTGGCTGGAAATCTGCCAGCAATGGCAGAGGGGAGGGATCACAGCTTTAAGCTAAAAGGGACACCACGGGTGGAGCTCGGGGCCTCTGTGGGCCCAGATGCAGGGCCTGGGCAGTGGTCAGCCTTGCTCAGATATCCTGCACAGATCAAGTAGAAAGTTCTCAGCTGGACAAAAGACTCAGAAAGAAACATGTGGGGCAAACTCCTGGCCACCTGCCCATTGCTCCAACAGGCTGCATGGGGGCTGACCAGATGAACGGGCACCTGGCCTTCCCCTAATGAGCACAAGCTGCTCCCACAGGAAAACAAAAGTGTAATTCAGAGGGGGCCCTGGGGACCCACAAAGCCCTGCGGCCCGTGTGTGCTGATGGAGTTCATTTTCTGCATATTTGAGGGAGATAAAGCAATCATTGTGTGCGCCTCTTTACCCCCCAAGACCTCACTGATCCTTGGAGCTTTCTACCCGAAGAGTCTAATTACTGGGTCCAGGGTGACATAGGGGAGCCCCGTGGAACCAGGACCATCTGCTCAGGTCTCTCTGCTGCCCTGTGGCTCTGAGGGTCCTGCAGGAGGGAACCGCTGTGACCAGGACAGAGCGGGTCTTCCTGACACTGCGATACTGGCTTGAAGGAAGTGATGAAGAGCACACGTCCCTGGGTGGCCCTAAGCCAGGCTCAGCACTGGGGCCGATGGTCCTATCTAAGCCAAGCAGGCCCCAGAGCTTTCCCTGGTGCCCACAGCTCCATGGTCCAGGGTCTGAGATAGGAGGCTCAGATCTGGGTTGCTGATAAACTAGGCATCTAGTCCAGGGGCTGCTGGAGGCAGGAGGAGCCAAGACCTTCTCCTTGAGCTAAGATGAACTTAGGA
The DNA here is from genome assembly GCF_000001405.40 of Homo sapiens. NCBI lineage: Eukaryota > Metazoa > Chordata > Mammalia > Primates > Hominidae > Homo > Homo sapiens. The sequence goes on along the minus strand of NT_187653.1, from coordinate 78,916 downwards.
GGCCAGGAACAAGGTCAGGAGGGCAGGGAGGAGCTCAGAAGGCCGAGGACAGGCTTGGGAGGCTGAGGACTCGCTCAGGAGGCTGAGGACCCGCTCAGGAGGCTGAAGAAGAGCTCAGGAGATTGAGGATGGGCTCAGGGCCTGGGGACAGGCTCTGGATGCTGGGGAGGAGCTCAGGAAGCCGGGGACAGGCTCAGGGGGCTGAGGAGGAGCTCAGGAGGCTGGGGAGGAGCTCAGGAGGATGAGGATGGGCTCAGGGGGCTGAGGACGAGCTCAGGAGGCTGAGAATGAGTTCAGGAGGCCAAGGCCGAGGTCAGGCGGTGGGGATGGGCTCAGGAAGCTGGTAACACTCTAATCCAAAAGCCCTTGGGCTGAGCAGAGCCCACCACTGGACCAGGGCCCGTGGCCGTGGGGGTCCCCAGGGAAGTTGCAGAGGGTGGTCTGAGCTCAAGGTAGTAGGAGTGGGGGTACCCCCCAGCTTCCCCCACACCCACCCCCATTTCCCTGCACACTGTGGCGTTGTCATGGAGGCGCTCTGCTCAGAGCCAAGCGGACCACACCCCACCATTCAGGCCCAGACACCCAGAGCCACCAGCACTTTCCACCGGGACAGGGCCTTCTGAGACAACTTTCCAGGACAGGCAAGGTGGGGACACCTCTGAGCCCCTTCCAGGAGCATATGATGAAGGAAAGGAAAGAGCAGAAATAATAATACTAGAAGTGGCCAGCAGCAACGGTGTGTCAGACACAGTGCCCAGCTCCCGGCAGAGTGGCTGGACACCGCACCATCTCCAGGCTGTGATCCAAGTTTCCCTCCCAGCCTAACTGTACCGGCTCCCTTTCAAGTGGTCGGCTGGCTGCCTCTTGTCAGCAGGCAGCAAGGAGGAAAAGAATGCCTTTCTGCTTCTCATTGGTAAAACCTTCCGCCCAGATAAGATGAGAGACAAAGATTTGGGAGAAAACCTGCTGCGAGCAAGGCCTGCCCTGAAAGGTGGAGTGCCCTGCACCTGGGCTGTGTCTCCCAGCCGGCCGTGCGGTCCACCGAGGCAGGGGCACATGTGCTCGAGACACGGCCCATGGTGAGGACCTGCACACAGACACCATTCACTCACGCACACACTCACGGAGGACACACCCACCCATATTGACACACTCACACACTGACACAGGTACACATTCACACACTCATGGACACACACACACACAGGCACACACAGACATGCATTCACACCACACACCTACACAGAAGCACTCACACACTCATGGACACTTACATCAGTACAAACACAGACATATTTGCACACGCACACAGACACACTCTCCTATACACCCACGGGGCACACATTCACACTCGCACACACACATCCACACTCACCTACACACCCACACACATTCACACACTCACACTCATGGGCACACACACCCACACAGACACAGAAACTCATGGACACACACACCAATGCAAACACAGATATTTTCACACACAGGTGTACATACACACTCAGCTACGCACCCACACAGGTGGATATGTGTGTATAGGAAAAGACACTCTCCAGGGTCGGGCACTCCCCGGTTTCAGGCATCTGCTGGGGTCCTGGAAGGCCCCCATGGGTGAGGGGCCACAGCGCACGCAGCCCCCAGCTCCTGGCTCTCACCCATTAGAAAGGACACCTGCCGCCCTGGGCATGAGCAGGACTGTGGGAGATTTGGGGTGGGGGCTTCACCGACGAACTGTGGGATTCTCCTCATCTGAGGCTGCTCCTGAGCCCACACGGATTTAGCATTTCACGTGCTGCTCACTAAACTGAGTGAACGAGTGGCAAATCAGCCACTGTGCGAGCCGCCTCTGTGGGAACCCAGGGCCGGGCTCTGCTCTGCAGACCTCTCCCCTGCCCAGGCCTTGGCTCCAGTGGGCACTTGTCCTGCCAGTGGCCATGGCCCTGGCAGGCTCCTCTGTTTTCCTGTCCATGAGCCCCTGCAAGAGGCCTTCTCTGTTCCAGTCCCTCGGCATCCCGCTCTCCTGGCTTCTCTGGGTGAGGAGTGAGGAAGGGTCACAGAGGGTCCTGCCTGCCCGTCAGTACCTCAGGGCCTGCTTGGAGGTGTGTGGGGCCCTTGTCCTCGTCCTTGGGTCTGTGACTCCAGATCTGAGGCCTGTTGGCCGGCCCTGCACCAGAGCTGCCTGCCTCGCTCCTGTGAGGAGGGACCCAGCGGCCCCCAGACAGGGGCAGAGGACAAGGTCGTCCTAATGCTGGGAGACGAAAGCCCCTTGGCGCTGTCCTGCGCCCGCAAGCCCTGCCACCCCAGTTTCCCTCTCGCTCTGCAGACGATGCCCTTGGCCTCATGCCCCAGTGCGTGTGGTGGAAGAGACGCACAGCGCAGCCTTGGGAGCCTGCCGGAGGCCCCCTGAAGGCTCAGCCTGCTGCTCTGACCCCCACACCAGCTGGAGTCCAAGTTTCCAGGAAGACTTCATCTCCCTTGCCCCTCGTCTGGTTCTCGGAGAGCTGGATGGGGCTTTCGCTCAGCAGCACGGGCACAGCTCCACTTCCAAAATGTGAGGGGCAGGGGCCCAGGTGTTGGATGCCTTCAGAGCCCTGGAGCCCCGGGAGGGGCTCTCAAGCCCACCTGCCTGAGTCGGGCATCAGGCAGGGAGAGTGCTGGGGCCTCCGCCCCTGCTGGCCCAGTGATGAAAACCAAGCATGAAGGGTGGGTGTTCATTGGTTACTTGCTGTGTGTGGCCTCTAAACATGCACCATTCCCTTTAATTTTCACAGGCTTCATGGGATGGTATTAGTGTTGCCACCGGACAGGCTGGCCCTGTGGAAGGAACATGGGCGTGGGCAGTTCCTGGCCTCTGGTCTTGACTCCTGACTCGGTTCCACCCCCTTGGGATGCTTGGCCCAATTCGTGGCTCAGAGCCCGGCTCTATCTATTTAATGGGAGCTGCACTTGAGGAGGGCCAGGGAATCATCTGGGCCAGCAGAGGCAGAGGCCCCCGCACGCTCCCTGCCCGATGCCCGACTCAGGCAGGTGGTGAAGGCATCCGAGACCTGAGCCCCTGCCCCTCACACTTTGAAAGTGGAGCTGCGCCCCTGTTGCTGAGCAGAAGCCCCACGCATGCAGGGGTGGGTTGGGAGGGGCCCCTGCCAGAGCCTCTCTCTACGCCGGCCTGGCTGTGGCATGTTCTCTCCAGATTTCCTCCAGGAGACGGCCCTGGTCCCTTGCCACAATAGAAATTATGCCCCATAATTTTCTGTTGTAAAACTTGATCTTTTTCTGCAAGCAAGTCATTAAAACTTCAGCTCTTGCACGCTCCATGTCCCATGAATGCCCAGGCCTTAGCACAGCTTCCGCAGTGCCAGAAGTTCCGTCAATCATGTTGAGTGATTGTAAATCACTCAATCAGTGGATGTAAATATGTGTACAAGAAGAAAGGAAGGAGTGGGGACACGGCCCCTTCCCCACAAGCCTCTCTCAAAAACCCGAACCTAACAGAATACAGGGGTGGAAACATGAACCTTTTCTCCATCTTCTGACCCTTAAGGACAGAGAGAAGCAGCAGGTTGTGATGTCAGTAGGAACTTGCAGACCAGGACAGCTGAGCGCTCACCGACGGCTCGCAGGACACCCTCAGTCACCGCCGCGCCCATCAGAAGAAACAGCAGGAACCAGACATTGCTCTGCCTGCAGAAATCACATCTGAAAATCAACTCTGCTTTGCTCCAAGCGACGGAGCTTTTTCATAAGTATAAAAAACAGCTAACTGGATAAAAACACCTTTCCTGGGGACCTGAGTGCTGCAATTCAAAGGGGCTGGCAGTGTGAGGCTGGAGAAGGGCTCCTGCAAGGCTCTTAGCTGGGCAGGCCGAGGGAGGCCCCTCTCGGTGAGCACGAAATCAGGGATGCCCCGGGCCGGTTAGGGATGGGGCCTGGACACCGTGAGATTTCCAGCAGGCTACACCTGGGGCTGCAGCCGGGGCAGCCCCCACAGAATACTCAGAGGCAGCGGGAAGTGCGGGCTGGTGACGAGAGTGGGAACACTGCCCCACACGCAGCCGCCTCGGTGCCACCTGGCGGACAAGCCGCCCCTGTCCCCCGCTTGGCCTCTCCACATGGCACATTTGCCCCTGGCAGTGCCCAGCCCCAGGTCCGGGTGACTGGGGACAAAGAATACCGATGGAAAAACAAGCTAACGAGCTCCTCCTAGGGAAGAGGCCCGCGCCAGGGAGGAGGCGGCCGTCTGGGCGGAGCTTCCCGATAGCCAGGCCCGGGCGGTGCCAGGACACTCACCTCAGGTCTCACCTGCAGAGCATCCACGAGTCACTCACGCTGGGCCAGGCACAGGCTGTGCACACAGAGGGCAGATCCAGACCACACGAGAGCATAGGTGCCCACGGGTGTGCAGGGATTGTGGGGGGAAAGGAGTGTGTGCTTGTGTGCCTGTAGGCGTGGGTGAGTGTAGGTGTGCCTGTGGGAGGGCGAGACCATGAGTGTGAGGGTGCGCGTGTGCCTGTGGGAGGGTGTGTGGGTGTGGGTGTGCGTGGGAGGGTGTGATTCTCTGTGGCTATGCCTGATTGTGTGTACATGTGGGTGCACATGCTGCACGTCTGTGCTGCAGGAACCCATAGGGCCAACCTTAGGTCCTAATTCTGGGCTGACCGTGTGCCGTCCCCCACGGGCCCCTGCATCCTCAGTTCCTCATCTGTGCTGTGGGCAGAAGCTGGGCTGCCCCACACTCCAACATCCCTAGAAGGGAAGGGATGGGGGCAGGGCTGGCTGCAGGGACAGCCTCGCCCACAGCAGACACGGAGGCCGCAGGGTCATGCCCTGGATGGATGTCACCCAGGAAAGGTTTTGCCTCCTCCAGTCTTTTAAATCAGGCTCCAGGGGCTACGATTACAGCCCTGGGCTTTCTCCCACCCCTCAGCCTCCCTCCTTAGTAGCTCCACAGCAGCTCCCTCCCGAGAGCACACCACCCCTGCACGCTCGGAGCTGCATCCTCCAGCCCCTCATTCCCCGCTCATCTACTCCGACCCAGCTAGGGATCCGGCTTCCCTCTTAGGGCCATTTCTCCTTTGCCAGCATTTTCTCTTTTTCCCTTCTGTCATGCTCTGCTACGTCCTCATGCAAAATTAAGCCCAAAACGGTTTCAGTTACTCCCAACCCTGAGACGAGTTTTAAAATAGTGACAGGATGAACATTGCACCTCCCATGTGAGGGCTGTAAGGGACTGGCAGTTCCAAATGCATCTTCCACTCGCAAAGTTGCTAACACAAATCCCATGGGGAAAAGGGAACTGCTGACCTTTCAGCGTGCAGATCTTCCCTTTGATGGGTTTGCTTGCCTTCAGAAGAGCCCAGGAAAGCTCTGCACAGAGGCCTGTGTGTTTCCGCCCCTCCTGTAGGAAATGAACGGGTGCGTCTTCTCCGTTGCCTTTATTGATCAAGGCCAAAATCACAAGTATAAATTACCACGGTGGGAAACGAGCTGCTCTGATGAGAGGCAGGTGGAGGAGGCTGCCTCGTCAATAATGCATCTGATCAGAAAGAAGGGGCTGATCAGAGGGAGGCCGGGCTCTTTGAAGGTTCTGGTTTTCCCATGGAAAGCTCCACCAGCTCTCTGCCTGCCGAGTTCCTGCTCTTGCCCAGACGGGAAGTGCGAGTAGCTTTCATATCAGACCTGCCGCTCACCGCACCGAACTGATTCCATGGACACTGACATTTGTCTCTGCAGCAGGGATGGCCGCCCTGGCCCAGGCTCCTGTCGCTGTGGATGCCTCTGTCTGGCACAGACTTTCGGTGTTAGAGCCCCAGGTGAAGGTCTGAAGCAAGAAGGAAAAGGACACAGAATCCCATCCCTTCTGAACCTGCGGGGTGCAGCTGCCCTGAGATCCTGTAGCATTTCACTGGGAGCCGACAGGGATGGTTTGCGCGCTGCCGGGATGCGTGAACAGGGGAGTCCATGAGGCCCCAGGGCTGACTCAGGGCACGTGCAGTTTGGGGAGCAGCCAGGGAGGCCTCCCGGGCAGCCGGTTGGAGGACAGAGCTGAGGACATGCAGGCTGTCTTCTATGATCAAGGGTGGGTGAGGCACAGAGGAACTCTGGTGACTGGATGCAGCCGTGAGGGGCCGTGGCCCAGAGAAGCACAGCGGTGTCTCACCTGGCTTCTCCGCAGGCCTCAGACTCATGTCCTCAGGTGCAGGTGCCGGGCCCTCCTCCAACAGTGAGCTCCAGCTGCCTCCCCGCTCAGGGGCCACTCTGCTCTGATACGGGCTCTGATACCGGCCTGCAGCTCCCCTGCTCTTGGTTTCTGCCTGGTGTCACCTTCTTCCACGACACCCAGTCCCAGGATGACTGACGCCCAGGGAGATCTGTCGCCTCTCCTCAGAGACCACGTGTGTTCACCCTCAGCAGCAACACGCTGCTCCTTCCTCAAGGCGTCCTGAGGCATTGTGCATTTTCACCATTTCTGGGATGTAAAGAAGGAGGAATATTTGTCAGATAGAGAGAATACCGGTTCAGATGGTTGGTGGCTCAGATAGAGGTGGGGTTTGTTCCAGCCAGCAGCCCGTCCTGAGAACCAGGCTGGAAGAAACACCCTTCCCTGTGGCACCACAACACCTACACCGAGGTGTCTGTGCTGCCTGGAAAGCACAGCGGGTCTCCCCAGTGCTGGGGTCATCCGGAGAGCCAAGCACCTTCCAGAGGGGCCTCGAAGTGGGGGCGCAGGCCCCCCAGGGTGCTCAGGCCAGACCGCCTCCTCTCAGGTGGTTCAGCAAGAGCTTCCTTCTGCCTCAGATCCTTCCAGGGTGTGGACTCTCTTTTCTTATGATTCTTTTCTGACTTCACCTTACGTCACTCCTCTCCAAACCTAGATGGTAAGCCCGGTGAGGGCAGGGACCCAGCCTCCCTCATTTGCAAAGCAACCACAGTCCCTGCCTTTGAGCTGGGCTGCGGGTGCCAAGCTGGAGAGCATTTCGCCCTCTCCCACTGCTGCTGAAACAGAAACCACAAATTTAGTGGTTTAAAATAGCACAGATTTCTTCTCTTGCAGAGCTGGAGCTCAGAAGTCCGAAATGAGTTTCACTGAGCCAAAGCCAGGGAGTCAGCAGGGCTGGTCCCTCTGGAGGCTGCAGAACACCTGCTCTGCACCTCCTCCGACCTCTGCAGCTACTCGGCACCCAGGACAGCTGTGCGGCCTCTGCTGTGTCTGAGCTGCTGTTGTTCCATGGCCCTCTCTGTGAGCTTGCTGTCTCCCTCTCATAAGGGCCCTCTCATAAGTCATCTGGATGACCCAGAACAACCTCCCAATCTCTAGACACTTATCCCGACTCCATCCATAGAGCCCCTCTTGCATGTAAGGTAACGTGCCCACGGGTTCGTGGGATTAGGATGTGCACACCTTTGGGGGCCTGATGTAGCTGACCATGCCCACATCTGGTGGGAACCCACCTTCAGGGTTTCTTCTCCTTGGACACAGGCTACAGCCCAAGCCAAATGTCCCAGAGCCTGGAGCAGGGCCCCCCTCCCCCACTTTCCCCAAAGAGGCTGGCGCGGGAACAAAGCCCCTGTGTGGTCAGGAGCTGGGAGGGCAAGACAACAGGACAACAGGACAAGAGGACAACAGAACAACAGGGCAACAGGGCAACAGGACAACAGGGCAACAGCCATCCCAGCTGGAGAAGATTCTCAGGGCTGAGGTGGAGGAGGTCGGGCCTCAGCCGGGCTCAGAGTGGAACTGCTGGTCCTCCTGTCACAGGAGGGAGGGGCGGTGGGACGAGAAGAGAGGGCCTTGAGATCAAGCCGTGCCCTGCTGAAGCCTGGCAGAGGGGCTGTGCCTCTGGGCAGCTGGTGTGAGCTGTCGTCTCGTGCAGCTGGTCTAGGATGGGGCAGAGGCTCTGCCTTGACCTCTCCCACCCCTGGTGCCGTTTGCCCCTCCACTCCAGGTGAGCACAGCTGGAGCAGCAGCTACCTCGAGGACTGGTGGCCTTTGAGGTTTTCCCGATGGACTTTTCAGGCTTCTACCAGCGGGGCCCCGTGACTGTACTGCCTCCTGGGAGCTGCTACTGGGAGAGGCAGCGGTACAATCCCCCCTGCCTAGAGTCGACAAGGGGCTTCCCCCACTGAGCTGAGACAAGGCCTTCTGTCTGCATCATGAAGCTGCGATCGCAGCTTCCTACAGCTATGAAACTCCCAGCTCAACCTACCCAGACTCAGTTCTGTTCCCTGAGACCTTCGGTCACAATGGCACACCTCGCCTGGGGTGGAACCTCCTGCTGTTTACACTGATGAGCCCAGGGTGAGCAGAGACAAAGCGCCAAGACACGCTCGTCAGAGAAGGGCTGGGCAGGACAGACACAGGCGGACGGGGTGGCCAGAGAGGCCGTGAGAAACGGACAAAACAGAGGGGGTGCATTTATCATCCCTTCCTCAGCACCTGACGCCAGGCAGGCCCTGTGCCTCCCCAGTCCAACTCTTCCAGGCATGGCAGATGCTTGATAATTCCTGCGACTGACCCAAAGGCTTCACAGGTCAGATTCCAGCCAGGCCGAGCCTGTGAAAAGACTTTCTTCAGAAAGTCCAGACCATGGTGATCATGGCCATTACGGCTGGAAATGTTGGAAGACCTGCAGGGCACTGGGCTTGTACCTTGGCCTCTTGGACATGCCCCCTCCTCCCTCGTCTCTCCCCAGGGAGAGTCAGTGATGGTTCACCTGGTGCCAGGCTGTTCCCCATCCAGCAGGAGCCATTAGGGAGGAGCAGGTGGGCTGGGCCCCACAGACTGAGAGAGTCAGGTCCCCAGCCCTGGAGAAGAGGGCACTTTAATGAGTGTATTTGGCCAATGGCCAGTCACTGAGGCTGTGGTCCTCCCCTGTCTCCGAGAAGCCCCAACATGGAAGGCTCAGGATAGAATATCCCCACGACTCTGCTCACCACCCTTCCCATGAGGCTCTGTCATGGGAGGCTGGATGCAGTGTGTCTTTAAAATGGTCTGCCCATCTCAGTCTCAAACTTTGGAAAGGGTTAACATAGCATTCCATGACCAGGATGCTGGGACTTTGAAGTTTCCTCTGCTAAACAGGACAGAGGCTCAAAAGAGCTCTTCCTCAAGCTGATTTAACCAGTCACTGGGTGGCACAGGCCATCAGCACTGAAGGCCGCAGCAGAGAGATAAAGGGATGCAGCATCACTTATGCAAAAGCAGAATAAGGTATTACCCCTTGCAGATGGCTTCTGGCATTTACCTTGTTGGATCTCATGTTAGCAACGACCACCAACACTTCTGAACGGCAACACTTAACGAGAGTCTTTCCATTCTCCATGAAAAGAGTTGTCACAGAAAAATTTAAAGGGAAAGTGGCTTTAAACTGCCCATATCAAGTAGGAGTCTCCGGGGCTTGGCTGAGCCGGCGTTCCTCCTTTTAACTCTTCCATGTCGTTGGAGAGCCAGAGTTTGAAAGCCCTGGGACAGAAGAGGAGGAAGAAAAGGAAGACGAGGAGGACAAGGGGGAGGGAGAGGACAAGGAGGAGGCAGAGGAGGAGAATTAGGAAGAGGAAGAGGGGGATGAGGAGGAGGAAGAAGAAGACAAGGAGGAGGAGGAGGAGAGGGAGGAGGACAAGGAGGAGGTGAAGGAGGAGGAGTCGGGGAGAAGGAGGAGGAATCGGGGAGAAGGAGGAGAATGAGGAGGACAAGGAAGAGAACGAAGAGGAGGAGAAGGAGGAGGAGAAGGAGGACTAGGAGGAAGAGGAGAATGACAAGGAGGGGGATAAGGAGGACAAGGAGGACAATGGATGAGGAGGAGGGAGTAGGAGGAGGAGGGGTGGGAGAAGGAGAAGGGGGACAAGGGGGAGAAGGAGGAGTGGGGGAGATGGAGGGGCCAGAGGAGGAGGCAGCCGTGGTGGCTTGGGCGAGGCGTTGGATCCAGGGCGTGCTTGGCTGTTGCCTCCCTCTAGACCTCAGTCTCCTGTCCTGTGAAATGGGCAGGCACTGAGGACCCTGTAGCATCCCCAGCCCATGAGTGCTCACCCCCTTGATGAGCAGCATCACTAGCATGTAGAAATACGTTGGATTTAAGATATTTCCAAGCCATGGTCCTAAGTGGTGGCCACATTCCAGGCTCTCCCCAGAGGCGATGAGGATCCGGTTGCTTGGCATAAGCCTCACTGTCGTGTTGTCAGCCTCTTTCCGCCTGCATCCTGGCGGGCGTGCAGGGCGTCCCACTGAGATTTTCAGTTGCACTTCCTGATCACTACGAGGCTGAGCAGCTTTTCTCAAACTCATCAGCTATTTGTGTATCTTCCAAACTGTTTGCTCAAGTCTTTGCCCGTTTTTTAGAATTGGGCAGTAGTCTGTTGATTGCTGGGTCTCCAGAGTTGCTTACACATTCTTCACGGAGGTCTTTCATCAGGTGTCCCTGTTGTGTGTATTTTCACCCAATGACTTCCATTTTCTTGAAGTCCAATTTATCAATCTCCCTCCTTCCCCTGTGGCTGGTTTTTTAAAATGAAGTTTTTTTATTTTAGAGCCATTTCGAGTTTACAGAATTGTTATAAAGATAGTGCCGGGTTCCCATATACTTCACACAGTTTGCTTATTATTAATGCCTTACATTATAATGGTACATTTGTCAGAATTAGCGAACAAACGTTGCTACATAATCATTGACTAAAGCCCACGGTTCATTTGGTTTGTTCTCGGGTGGCCGTTTTGTGGGCCGGGATCCTATCCAGGATCCCGTGTGACATTTGCTTGTCACATCTCCTTGGGGTCCTCTGGGCCGTGACAGTTTCTCAGACCTTCCTTGTTTTCTGTGATCTTGAAAGTTCTGAGAAGCTGGGCTCAGGCATCTGGGGGAGTGTCTGTCTGCCGGGATTCGTGTGAAGTCTTTTTTTCATGATCAGATTCCGGCTGTGGGCTCCTTGGAGGAAGAGCAGAGGTGAGGCGCTTCTCATCCCACCACATCAGGGGTCCTGCCTCGGCCCGGCTCACTGCTGATGTTGACCTCGGCTACCTGGCAGAGTGTGCTGGCCAGGTTTCTCCAGCATGAAGTCACTCTCGTTTCCCTTGTAAGTTATACTCTAGTTTATCAATCTTCTAGTTTATGGCTTGTGTCTTCTCTATGAAACCCTTGCCTAACCTCTCAGTTTCGAAGGTATGAGAGGGAGGAGTCAAGATTCTTTTTTCTTTTCATGTGGATATCCAGTTTTCTTTTATTTATTTATATATTTTATATTTTAGAGACAGGATCTCACTCTATCGCCCAAGCTGCGATCACAGCTTACTGCAGCCTAAAACCCCTGGGCTCAAGGGATCCTCCTGCCTCAGTGTGCACCTCCGTGCCTGGCCTACATCTCTGTGTAGAGACACAGAGTCTTATGACGTTGCCCACACTCGTCTCAAACTTCTGGACCCAAGCAATCCTCCCACCTTGGCATCCCAAAGTCCTGGGACTACAGGCATGAGCCCCCCTACGCCTGGCCTGATATCCAGTTATTTCAGTACCATGTTTCCCCCTGTGGTTTTGGCCTGCTTGTTGAAAATCATGGGATGGTGCCTGTCAGCCTATTTCTGTAATCTCTGCTCTATGCCAGTGAGCTATTTCTTTATGGCCTTACTGGTGCAAGATTTGACAACTCTTCTGATGGTGCCGTTCCTTTCCAGATGGCTGTGGCTGCCCTTAGACCTTCACTTCTCTATGAACTTCTAAATCATCCTGTTAATTTAGAGGAAAAGTCCACAGGGACTCCAATTGAGATTTCATTGAATGATTAGATCAATTTGTGAAGAATTAGACATGGTATATTTAGAGATATATCTCTCAGATAATTTTTGGTGTAGAGGTTTTCACATATATTGTGAAATTTATCCCTAAGTATTTGATTTTACTATTATAGATAGTATTTTTGACTTCATTTTAAATTAGTCATCAGCAGTATATAGAAATACAACCTATCTTTATATGTTGACCTGGTGTCCTGTGATGTTTTAAATTAGTCATCAGTAGTATATAGAAATACAACTGATCTTTACATATTGACTTGGTGTCTTGTGATGTTGCAGAATTCACTTATTGGTTCAAGTTGATTTTTTGTGGATCCCTTAGGATTTGCCACCTCATTTCACCTGTAAATGAGGATAGTTTTACTTATTTCTTTCCAATATTTATACTTTTCTTTTCCTCATCTCTTTGCACTGGCTGGAACCTCCCAGCCCAATGCTCACAAGAAGAGATGAAAACAAAAACAGAAACCCTTCCCTTTCTTCCCGTTTTAGGGGGAGTTATTGAGTATTTCATCATTTGTTATGATGTTGGCTATAGAAAAAAAAAAGTCTGTTTTAACAGTGCTAGCCACTGGGAGAGTAAGCACCTGCCCTTATCTGAAGGCAGGGACTTCTGAAGGCCTCTGTGCTGAGTTCTGAATGACTTCCAGGTCACAATTAGCTCCTGGATGTTTACAGACAGAGTTGCAGAGACGTTCCTGGGTCCCATGACCCTCGTTGGACCCCAGGCATGCAGAGGAGAAAGCAGCATCTTCAGGCCCAGCCCAGGCGAGTGTCCTGCCTCTCTCACTGTCAGGGACACCAGGAGCTTGCAGCAATGGTCCTAACCTCTCCCTGCTCCTTCTCCACTTTATGGTCCTTACAACAAGGTGATCCCCTGCTCCAGGATCTCAATCATAAAGGGTAGAGAAGCATCTGCATGAGGCAAAGGTGGACCTGAAAGCCAGGCCAGTGTTCGTCCCCACTCGGCCTTGTTGCTCCGTCTCGTCCAGGCTAGGACCTGCATGTGTCAGGGAAGCAGCTGGCTGAGCTCATGGGGGCAGAGAACCACCAATGAGGTGGGGGAAGAAGGGTCACGCTTCATTTAGAGGGGCACACAGTGCAGAGGAGGCCAAGCCTAGCCAGGCAAGACGTGCATCCTGAGTGAGGCGGGTAAGACCACCTGCATTCAATGTGCCCCCTGTGTCTCCCCACTTCTCAACTCTTGTCACACACTGGACAAGCAGAGACAGGAGAGAATCACTCCATGTCATTGAATAAACTGGTTTAGAGCTCTGTCTGATAAAACCACAGTGAACAGAGAAGAAAAGAGCCATCACGTTTTAACGTGTGGCCGGCCTGGGTGCAGCCTTCTGAGGGATCCCTGGAAGCCTCAAAGCTGTTTCATCTCGGGCGAGGTTTGGGGTCCTCTGATATTTGTGGATTCTCTACCATATGGGAGACCTAAAGGCTCAGAACATGAAAAGTGTTGGGAGCTTTAAACTACTATCTTCTCTTTTCCTTTGGTATAATGCACGAGAGCAAAATGTACAAACGGATCTCCTTATATTCAAGGTACAGACCAAGGAATGAAACCCAGGGAGCAAAAGGCACGGCAGACAGCAGCAGGGCCAGGGCTGTGTCCAGTCCTCTGAAGACTGCGGGGTCTGCATAAAGGAGGCCCTGTCTCTTCCCCTTGGGCTGCTCGAACCACACAAGCTGATGTCAGGAGTGACTAAATCTACCCTAATTAATAGACCATTTGACTCAAGTCCAAGCTAGGAAGCAAACACACAAAAGGGGTTCCTATAAAAACACCAGCAGAGGCGTGGAGCCGTTTCAGCGTGCTGTGGAGAGAGCTAACTCCTGGCTGCTGATCTCTTGAGGCCACGTGAGGGCTCCATCCCTGGCTTGGCCACCCACACCTCCCCTGGGCCGGCACCTTCTTATCTGGATGAAAACAATTCCCACCTCACGGGAAAGTTTTAGGCAACATTGTTTATTGCCTGCAAATCTCCCTGTGTGGTCTTGCTGAGGCACCAGCAAAAGCAAGTTGCTTCTGCTCTCTGTTGACTTTGGCCAGAGCATCTTTTGACCGAGATTTGACCGAGTCACCACCGTCTGACAATTATGAAGGATTTGATTTATTCTGGACACTGGCCTTCTCCAAGCTGGCGGCTAATAAGGTCCTATGAATGTTGTTAGCTGTTGACTGTGGACCACATAATTTCTCAGAGATTCTGCACCTCTTTGGAGCACTAGCTGGGCGCTGCCTAGAGGAACTTTCTGATGGTGGAAATGTCAACTGATGGTTAGATGTTCAGGGGCACCCCATCCACCAGGCGAGCTCAAAGCAAATGTCCTTCTGGAGTGAGTGCATGGGTCCAGGAAGGCCAGGCGTGTCGTTGTGTAGGGCCATGAGTCCACGAGGAAATGAGGTGCCAGTCCCCCTGCTCCTCACAGGGATGGACCAGGACTCACTTCCGACCAGTTAATTAATGGACTTGAGACTTGTGACCCACCTGAGGACCAAGTCCTCGCAGGACACTGGGTAGAATGGTAAAGACAAGCAGTGGCATGACCTCTAATGCCAGAGTAAGAACGTGTGCCCCATGCCCACCCAGGTCGCTAGGCCTTTACTGCAGCCGAGGCACTGCCTCTGTCTGGTCTTGGGTGCTGAGAGGCCGGGACCTGCTGCGGCCTGTTGGATGCAGCTCATGCTCCCTCCCGAGTCCGTGGCAGAGAGCAGTAGGGGCTCAGGGCAGCAGAAGGCCCAGGGAGAGGAGGGGGTCCTCCCTGTCCAGGTGAGAGCCTTTGACCATACCAAGAGCCGGGGTGCCCAGTTGTCCTTCAGCACTGGGCCTTCCAGCAGGCCAAGGGAGACAGTATCAGAACCTCATCATAGGCTGTTTAAGGCTTAAGTGAGGTTGACAGGTGAAATGCTGAGAACAGTGGCCCCTTGCAAGCGTTTTATGGAGGTAGTGTATTCTCTGTGTGGATGCAGGTGGGGAGAAGTGGAAGGAAGGACGCACGAGAGCCAGCCTGCGACACCTAAGGACAGAAACACCTCCCTCAGCCCAGCCGGCTGCTGACTCCATGCGAAGAGGGACACCAACCCTTACAATCTCACAGTGTCCTGCCCCTGCCCCTGCCCCTGTGAGGTGGGAATCATTATGCTTATTTCACAGACGCAGAAACTCAGAGGGCTTAAGGGTGATTGAAGTTTGCTCCAGGCCTGGACTCGAATCTGTGTCTTTGCTTCCTAGGGCGATGCTCCTTCCATCAAAACCAGAGTGTCCCAGCTCTAGATTCCCCACCCAATCTCCTGTGGCTGTCTCAGCACCTCCGTCGTGAATCCGTGCATCCCTTCAGACGACTGCCTTCCGATGCGGCCCCTGACCTGCCCCCCCTCCCATCACTGAATAGGACTCCTTTTCTCCTGGATTTCCTGTAGGAAGTTTCAAAATGCTCTCCAGGTTTTCTGTGGGTGGATTATCTCTCTGGATCTTTCTAAGTGAGTCCTGTGTTTCACCACAGCTCCCCCCACACAGTTGAGCAGCTATACCGTGGGGAGGCTTGGTCCTCTTGCCCCATTTGTGTGATGTCTATTGTAGTCATGCCAGGGGCCTGACGTCAGAGCTCCACCCTGACATGTGCTCATGCCGGTTTACAAACCCTCCCAGGACCAGGCCCCCATCCCTCTTCCAGGACAGGCTCTGGAGCTCCAGCTATTAACAGAAACATTCCAGCCAGCATCCCCAGCGACCCTCAGCCTCCCACGCCGCTGTGTCTTCATGACCACAGCCTGGCCACCACACAGCTCCCCCTCGAGGACTGTGACCACTTCCAGCCATGGTCTCTTTGGGCCATGCGGGATATATTCCCATTTCCCCATTCAGCTGGGAGATTTTACCAAGGGATTTTTCTCTCCTGGCTCCAATGCCAGCAAGACCATGAACAGCTGTGTCATTTTCACTTTCAAGCCTCAGCTTCTGTACATAAAAGAATACAGTTAATAATGATTTCCTCCTCCTGAGTTGCTATCGAATGAAATGAGGTTATGCACACACATGGCAAGGACCTGCGTCTGGCAGGAACAACATCTCGTTCATCGTCACGAGTGCTTCCCCTTGTGTCTTCCCTCCTGTGTGTGAGATGGGGGCTCCCAGGCCTCCCCAACAAAATACACTTTTCCAGCTTTTAGAGGCCAGCATTCCTAACTCCTTGCAATAAATCCCTATCATAGTACAAATGTAAACACATCACGGTATAACTCAAATCAACTGCCCCTGATTTTGCCATGTTTCAACCTTTTGTTGCCATCGGCCTCCTAAACAATGGCTTTAATGGAAACACAGGTATGTAAGCTTGGAAGCTGCTCAAACATCTCAGTCATTCAGAAATAAAACACTTGTTGAGCAGCTAGTCTGTGCCAGTTGTATTAGAGTTCTCCATAGAAACAGAACCAATAGGATGTACACAGAGAGAGGGATGAGCAGGGATTTTTCATGTGACTTGGCTCATGTGATTATGGAGGATGAGAAGTCCTGCTGCCATCTACAAGCTGGAGAACCAGGGAAGTTGCTGGTGTACGTCCCAGAGTCCAAAGGCCTGAGAACCCCGAGTTCTGATGTTTGGGGGCAGGAGAAGATGGATGTCTCAGATCCAGAATAAGGAAAGAATTCACCCTTCCTCTGCCTTTTTGTTCTATCTGGGCCCTCAGGCTTCGGGGAGCGTGGATTTTCCCACTCACTCCCCTGATTCAAATGCTGATCTCTTCTGGAAACGCCCTCTCAGGCGCACTTAGAAAGCATGTTTTATCAGCTATCTGGGTTTCCCTCAGCCTAGTCAAGTTGACACCTAAAATTAACCAACCACTAGGCAATGCACTACCTAGGAATACAGAGCCAAGGAGGGCGGGATCTTCCCAGGCCTCAAGGTCTCTCATCTGCTGAGCAGACAGGCATGAGGCAGACTCTCACAAGTAATGAGGTTGGTGGCAAGGACTACAAAAGAGAAAGACCTCTGCCAAATGCAAAGTTGCACTAAGTGCTAAGATAAACCCAAATCTGAACTGCAGAACTGTGGGCTGTGATGTTCACCCCCACCCAAGTGGCTATGTTGCCACATCGGCTGCAAACACACGTGAATTTGGGCTGGGTATCAGGAAATGAAGTCATTCTGGGAATGGAAATTTAAGTTTGTTTAGGGAACTGTGAAAATCTGCATTGGAAAACAGATACTGCGAGAGAACAGGTTCTGCAGACCAGCAAACAGTCCAGACACTGGATTTCTTCCCTGCTCGCTGTCTGGCCGCAGCCGGGGACAGACAGGCAGAGCGGGAGTGTGTCAGAAGGTGTTTTCTAGGGGAAAGAAGGAATAAAAGAAGACCCAGAGGAGATGCAGTGACATTGGGAGGTTCAATAATTTCCCTGCAGTTGAGGGCCCCTGGACCACTGTTTCCCCAGCAGAGACAAGGTGGTGGCTGGCATGGAGGGAGCTTCCTTAGAAGAACCCAGAACCCGTGTATTCCCCTGAGAAGCGTCATGAAACCTCTCAGATCTCTAATCCCTGCACTGCCCTGGAGCATCAAGGCCCAGCGCTGCTGTTGAATATTGTGAATGTGGTTTTTCCTGACTCACCATAGAGTCAATAATTTCCAGTTTAAACGAATTTGTTAAATATCCTTCCAGATTATGCCATTATCCAAGAAAGTCTTAGCTGGCTAAACTGGAGCAAGCAATTCTTTTAGGAATTTGGAGAGCAAGTTTATTGTGAGAATCTTGCAGCTGTGACAGACAAATGTCCACAGAGAGAAGAGACGCCTCTGAGAGGTAGTGAGCCTGATAACTGAGCACCGGGAGGGCTGCAGAGCCGGACGGCTCAGCCTCGGGATCCAGCCCAGCCTCTCCTTCCCTACAGTGAGCTCCTGCCAGACCGCAATACCCTCCAGCATTCCTGACATGAATCTGACCTGCGGGGAGGATCCGGGACAGACCCAGCGCAGTGGAGCATCTCGGATGCCATGAGTTTCCCGGTAAGCAGCACCCAGGGGCAGCACCAGGGGGAGCAGCTTCTCAAGCTCCCAAGGGAGCATGTGGGTCGACGAACAGCAGCCTCCTCTGACTTCTTCCTGGTGATCTGGGGAAGGAGGAGGCAGCGTCGGCGCTTGGCCGCATTGATATATGACACCTTGTCCCTCCTTTTCATGGCCCCCTTTTCTCCAAATCAGGATTGTAAGGCCCATTGACTAACTTCTACAGATTGCCACAAGCTCGAAACATAGTAATTGAGGGAAAGAACAGCATTGCTGATGTTATTCCTTCAATCATAACACAAAAATTCTGAGTGTGTGCCAGGAAATGTCCTACCCAATGGAGATTAAAATTTTAGAGGGAGGAGACACGCAATAAACAACTAAATAATTAAAACATGCAGTGTGCAAGGCAATGATAAGGGCTTTGAAGAAAAGTAAAGCAGAAAAGGGGTAGACAATGTGAAAGCAGGAAGCAAGTTCAAAGGTATGGCCAGGGAAGGTCTTCCCAAGAGGTTGTCACCTGCACAGAGACTGAGACAGGCGAGGGCCAGGCGAGCTGGGCCTGGGAGAAGTGGGAGCACACCCAGATCATTCCAGGAGCAGGGAGGCCAGTGAGAACCATGAGCTGTGGAAGATGGAGTTGAGAGGGAATGGGGCAGGGCCGGCGGGGCCTTGCAGGCCACTTGGAGGCGTGGAGAAGTTCCTGGATGTTTGGAGCAGAAAGCTGGCATTCCCCGACCTGTTTCAACAGGAACATTGTGGCCAATGTATTGGCCACAGATCCACGCTGTAGGCCTGATGAACAGAAGTCTGACACATGTCACCACAATAGAGAGTCACAGCATCTCAATTCTCAGACTTAAACCAGTTTACAGACCCAGAGCCCCTGGAGGAAGGGCCCACCACACTGCCACCTGGTGAAACCATAGAGGCTTCACCTTCCTCCCAGCCTTCCCTGAAGACGCTGTGGCCGCTGTCTCTACTGTGGAAGGGAACTGATCAGACTCTGCAAGCGTTACTGGACACTGGCTCCGAAATGACACCAACTCCTGGAAACCCCAAATGTCACTGTGGTTCACAGTCAGGGTGGGGACTTTTGGGTCAGCAGAGTTTTGGCTCAGGTTTGATGCATAGTGGGGCCCACTGCGTCCACCCTGTGGTTATTTCCCCAGTTCCCAAATTCATGACTTGAACTGACTATTCAACAATGGGCAAAATCCTCACATTGGCTCTCCGGGCCACAGAGCGAGAGCTGTTATGGTCAGAAAGGCCAAACAGAGGCCGCTGGAACTGCGTCTTCCTGTGAAAATAGCAAACTAAATGCAATACCATATCCCTGGAGGATTGCAGAGATGAGGGCCACCATCACAGACTTGAGGAGGCAGGGGTGGGATTCCTACCACATCTCCGTACAGCTCACCTACTCGGCCCGCACGGAAGGGAGACAGCTCTTGGAGAAGGACTGAGGATTATCATAAACTTAACCGGGGTCACTCTAGTTGCAGCTGCTGGTCCAGATTCAGTTTTGTTCCTGTTTTAAAGCAACCAGTCCTCTGGCTCCTGGTCTGTAATGTGTATTGGTCACCCCAGGGGTGGATGAGCCTTGGCTGTTGGTTCTAATTCAGAAATTCCCAAGGAAGGTTCGTGGTTGGCCCAGTGTGGGGCAGACCTTCCCAAGAACCAATTGTCCTTGGAGAGGGTAGCAGAGCACTTTCCCCGGTTGAGGCCAGCGTGGGGCTCGGAGGATGTTTCAAAGGAGCACTTTGAAAGTCTTGGAAGAGGTGTGTGAAATCAAGAGCAGGGCTTCAGCCCACCGGCCCTCCGCTGCTCAGTGCAGCTCATGCCCCATGACCTCCCAGGAAAAGAGAAATGCCCATCCCAGGAGATCCCGCGCTCCACCGTGGTCAGAGCAGAGGAAGGCGCCTTCTGTGGCCAGGCCAGTTCACAACCGGCAGATTCCCCGAGTGCACAGGCAGGAGAGGGGCTGGCCACTGCCTTCGCTCTCTTCTGAGCAGCACTGCTGTCTGAAGAGTCCAGTCCCCACACAGCTGAGGTGAGGGATGGTGCTGATGCGGAATGTCAAGTGAGATGCATTTGTTTTCAGCTTGGAAGACGCTGTTTACTGTTAATTTGACCAAGTGTTAGAGCGCATCTTGGAGAGAAGATAAGACGTGGTCAGAGATGTAAAATGATACTCATTGTGCCTGTAGAGGCCGGGCTCAGGGCCCTGGTGCTTCTCCCAGCTCTGGGTGACCGTCTGCAATGGAGGGAGTGTGTGGGCTGGTTTGCCAGCGGAGAGATTTGCCTCACGTCACCAGGAGCCTGGCCGAGCACCACGGTGACCGTGGCCGGGTGGAAGGAGATGGACGCCCACTTGTGCAATTTGCTTCCATTCTTTCTCCAGGGGCCATTTCAGAATAAAATGTAATGGCCCTTTCTTGTTCAGTGTGGTCTCAAATGGAAGTTTCTTGCTTTGGATGCAGTTTCCATGGGAAGAGAGAGTGAAGGGTGCCACCCATGGTTTTTGTCTGGGAACAGGCTCTGTCTGGGCCTGGATCCCCGAGTCTCCCCAGACCCCTGGATGGCCCCTAGCCTCCCTCAACCAGAGGGCATGAATGATGCTGCTTCCCCAGCAATTTGTCTGTTTTCTGAAAGTTGCTGGTGATTCTGCACAGTGCTTGGAAGTCCTCTCTGTGCTCAGAAGCACTTATACTCAATGCAGCAGCGACCCGTCTCAGGGCACCAGCACAGCAGGGAGAGAAACTGAGGCGGTCAGGGTGGGGGGACTTCACCAGCGAGTCAGCAGGGTTGGTTCAGGCCAGAGTGTGGGGAAAGGCTCAAGGAATTAGAATTCTCACCTGATTGTGCCCCCAGCTGTGGACCGTGGCCTCGGCTTCCTTTTCTCTATGATGACACAGTTGGGAAAGCTGCTCTCCAGGGTCCCCCGGCAGCTCTGATGGCCGGGAACACCCACAGCCTGGCCCCAATCAGAGACGGTCAGCAAGGACACGCCGGCAGGGCTCAAAGAACCCCAGAGCTGAAGGGTAACACTGCACACTGTAACAGCTGCTTGCCCAGATGGTGACTAATGGCAGCTTCCAAGATCATTGCCTCACTGGTCTCAGCCCCGTAATAGGAAAATCCTCCTGCAAGCATGTGACTGTCCCCACCTGAGGAATGGGGGATGTTTACTAACCCCCATCATATAAGGAAGTGTTCACATTACAGACAGAAATGCCACATCTTGGCTAAAGGACGTGTCCGTTGAATCCCTTAAGTCTCCTGTGTTGCCGTCACTTACTGGGAGGTGTTCGGGTGGGACCTTGGGGCGTGGCCCCTTGCTCTTTTGTTGCCACTCTTGATTTTTAAAAGCATCGTCTTGTTCAGTTAGTACACCTGAAATCTGCTTTTATACAAACGAGTTAAAGCTCAGCCTTAGCCGTGGTCCAGTGGGGCCTGGGGAGGGCCTCTGCACAAGATGCACGGGGCAGACCCCACAGCACCTGGCAGGCCAGCACCCGGGGCCCAGCGGCCTAGTTTGGCCACAGCAGGGAACATGCTGCCTCCACCCCTTCCCCGGCTGGACCACAGAGACCTAGATAGTAACTAAGCAGAGACTCATGTCCTTGCTGTCTTTCATGGCGTGATTAAAGGGCCCTGCCCCACCGGGCGCTGAGAGCTCTGAGAGGAACGTCTGCTCCTGGCTTCTCTGGGAAGTGGGGCCCAAGTGAGGCTGAGCTGTGTGCAACATGCAGGACATACAGGCTCAGAGTGGTGGGGACAAAGCAAGGACAAAGCCTCACGACAACGGAGCAGGTTACAGAGCTGGCTGTGACTTCAGATGAGTCACGTGAGGCTGGCATGGCTGTGCTCCCTTGGGCATGCAGTCTCCCAAGAAGCAGCAAGAAGAATCCACCCTTCAGAACAGCCTGCAAGGGGGAGCACCCTCCCTGCCTGCTCCTCTGTCCAGAAAGCTGCCTCCCCACCCTTCAGCAGTTCCAGGAGGGGCGACTCCTCCAGGCCTGAACTGAAGGGACTGGGAGTATGGAGCACTGAGCAAGAAGAAGGGAGGGGGGCTGAGAGGAGGGGGCAGTGCACATGTCTGTGCTCTCAGAAATGGTGGAAAGTGACAGCCCTGGCCCCTAGATGTCCAGAATTTAAGAAAGATTCTTGGAATTCACACACACAAGCACAGAAACGCACACCCAACACCCCTTAGCCCCTGCTGGTCATGAGACTTATTATTGGATACCTGGGAGTCTGCATGTGTCAGATCCCAGTGGTGACAAACCCGCTGGGCCCCCTTCCCATCACTCACTGTCCCCAGGACAGAGGCATCACCAGGCCTTTGTCCCTCTGCTGGGGCAGCTGGGTTGGTGGGGAATAGAGGGGCAAGGGAGAGACCTGGGGCTTCTTTTCTCCAGCGTCACTCTGGGGGGATGAACATACTATGCATTTCTCCTCCTGCGATAATCAGGCCCCCAGGCCTGCCCCTGCACTGCAGCTCCCACCTGGTGCCTGGCTGCCTCAAGCCAGCAAGATGCCTCAGCCTCTGGAGGTGAAGAGGAAAGCTAGCTGTGCCCCCTCGTGGAGAGCTGCTGGTTTATTCCTTAGTGATGGGTCCTGAGCATTGGCCTGATTATTTTATAACAGACTGATATCTTTCTGGAGCCCCTGAAAACACAATTTGCTGCCATGAAGCATGTTGTTTCCTTGCTAAAACAGTAAGTTGTTTTCCCCAGCAATTCTAACAGGCAGAAAACCCCATCTCAGCACATCAGCATCCCTTCCCTACCCCAGGAAGGTAAGAGAGGGCTGCAGGAAGAGGAAGGAAGTGCTAGAAAGCGGCTCTTCCCCGGGGAGCAGCGGTCAGTCAGTCTGCATCCTCCTGGGAGCCTGGTTCCTGCAGTTCCCACGGCCGCGCTGGGTAAAGCTGGCAGGGAAGACAGACCTCTACCGGGGCAGGGCCCTGCAACTTCTTTCTCCTGTGTTAAACTGTTCTCAATGACAGAGGCTGCCACGATGGTGACACTGAAGAGCACTGGCAAACGCACTAGCTGAGTAACAGACACTGTAACCAGCTGGCTGCAGCATTCGGAGTGGGCAGGTGCTGCCTGACTGCAGGGGCAGAGGGCCACCTGTCTTCTCTATACCCTCCTGGCATTTCAGAGCCCTGGCCGGAGCCTGCCTTCCTGGCCATGGTTGTGAGCAGGGAGGCCTGGGTGTACACATGTCCATGTGTGGATCAGCAGAGGGGTAGAATGGGGCCTGTGTTTTTTTACCCCATCCCACCCGATGGCCTACACTGGAAAGTCATGTAGGAATGAGGAAGGTGAAGAGGGTTCTTGCAGCTGACACCAGGCTGCCCAGCTTAGGTTGGGCCTGACCTCAGGACTGAGCCCAGCCCCCAGGGTAGCTCCAGTGCTCACCGTCGTACCCCATGATGCCCTACTGTGTTCACAGGGGAATGAGGCAGCTCCCCACACACAGAGGGCTCCCAGGACAGGTCCTGCCAAGGGTGTGACTGATGACCTGCTCCCCGAGTCCAAAGTCCTGGCTGAGGTCCAGGCAGCTGTGTCAGGGAGGGTCACATGGCACAGGCCAGGAAGCCCCTGCCCATGGGGCTAGCATTTACCATCCACGAATACGCTCCCTTTCAGGGTGCCTGATAGTGGTGAGGGTCAGATCGGGCATGATGGAAGTCATGGCCAGGGCAGGAGGTAAAGAGGATGCATGGTCTCCTGGCCTCGGAGAGTTTGCAAAGTGCCCCTCGGATCTGTCACGGGCTGGAGAGCAGAGCACGCGGTCACTGCGCTTGGTGGCTCCTACCTGTGGGGGCTCCTCGCCGCTGGACCAGAGACAGCTTTCTGGGGGGCCTTCTGCTGCTCGCTGATATGGCCAGCCTGGCCTCTGTCTTAGACCGGGCACCGCAGTCCCCAGACCCAGGCCCTGGCCCCTGACTACCCGACACCTAGCATTGCTCTGTGTCAAGTAGCAGAGGCGCCTCTGTTCGTTACTTAAAGAATGGATTTGTTTCTGCTGACTCCAGAAACAGCAGTGCACATGAACCACTGTCATCGAGGACAAGGCCTCCTTCTCCCAGGCTGACCACAGGTGGGCACTGCCAGGAGCTCTGATCACTGTGTTCTCTGCACATGTAGGACGAGCTGAGCAGGCCCAGCTCTTTCCTCACGACTGCGTGCGTGGGGTCGTTCAGCACTCTGAGTCCCCTCCTGAAAGACCCTGGTGGTGCTCTGCCATCACGTCAGTGCCTGTGTGTTTCGTGGAGCACGTGGGCAGCCCTGTGATCCCCGTGGGCCTGGCAGCGGTGCCATCTACTTGTCTGCTTATCTCAGGCCATCTACTTTGTGCTGAGCCCTGAAGTGAGCTCTGGGTCCCAGAAAGGAGCTGGAGGGGGGACCTGTACCCTGGAGGAGTGAACAGCCTGGTGGGGAAGGGGACACGGACACCTACAAGTCAGACACGGGATCATAGGGCCTTCGAGGAGGAGGCCTGGGCTTCCACAAAGACAGCAGCGCCCCATCCTGTTCGTAATCTACCCCCAGGACGCCCCTCCAAGGCTGTGTGGAGGTAGACCTGGAGAGCTGGAAAGAGTCTCCACCCCTCTCCTCGTAGAAGTGGGAACACAGAAAGGAAGGAGCAAGGACGTGACCCCTCCACAGACCCCAGGCCCCGGGATGGCTGTTAGAGGGCCCTGGCTCAGGGGCCCCTCCTGTCCCTCAGGGAAGGGGGTGCTTTGGACTCCCCAAGCTGCAGGGAGTGGTCAGGCCCCATGAGGGTGGCAGAGGAACTGGTGTGGGGAGGAGGAGAGTGTGGGGGCTGTGCCTGGCCCTGGGGGTGCAAGCAGAACCCTCTGGGAGGGATCACAGGGAGACTTTTAGCCCTGAACGGGGAGTTGCCCAGAAGACCTTTGGGGGGCTTTAGTCTTGGCCTCGGCATCTCCTCTGGTCCCAGCCCTGACCCCAGAGATGGAAGGTGTCCAAGGTCAGCATGTGTCCGGCCTGTGGCCTCTGTTGGGCAGGCCATGCACAAAGAGGCCTCATTTATCCACAAAGACACCCTCTGTCGCCGAGACACAGACTCTTCCCTTCCAAGACCAGTGGAAAGGACTCGGGGACGGCTCCTTCGAGCCGGAAAACCCTGTCATTGCAAGGCTGCTCTCAGGCCCAGTGTGCTCAGAGAATTACACCTCAGCACCAAGCTCTTTTCACTAAGGGTCCCTTCCATAATTGGAACTTGAACAAATGGCAGTAAAGTATACAGGAGCTTGCCTACCTAGAACAGGGCTCTCAGAAGAAAGATAAGCTCCCTCAGGTTCAGAAATGGCAGCAAAGCACATTCCCCCATACTCCAAGGCCGGCACGTGGTGGGTTGGCAGTGGGGCCAGGCACGTGGGGGAGGCCCCTCTCTGTGAAGTGAGTCAAGGCAGAAAAGAGGAAATGCCTCTACCTATCCTGTCCGGGGCCAGGGGCCTGGGAGGTGAGGAGGGACATGAGAAGCAGACTGGTGCCGACCCACAGGCGTGAGCCTCCCCTACCCAAGGGAGCAGGAAAGCCCCATGGGGGTCTCCCGAGCCCACAGGGTCACGGGCACGTATTCACTGCTAACCAAGCTCCCTTTAGATGGTCAGTGTGGTGATATCTGGAGCTTGCCCTGGAGTTTGAAAGGGCAGGTGCTGGAGAGCGTGGCTATCGGGAGCCGTGGGCAGATTTGTGGAGGGAGGTGGCATGAAAAATGGCCCTCAAGATCTCTCCACCTGAGGAGGCCACCCTGTCTTCTGCCCATCCTCCACCTGTCTTGCTCCTGGTTCCGCTCATTTTCTTCTCTCTCAGCCGGCCCAGCTGACTCACCACCCGTAAGACCAGGCCCACCGTGGGCCCTGCCCTGGGACTTGGCCTCCATGTGCCCCACCTGGAGACAGAGCCACTGCCCATGGAATGAGGCTCGGGACTCAGTCCAGACATTGGCTGAGCAGGAACAATAGCACCTGGCATCAGTGACCGAGGAAGGTGTAAAGACCCCATCAGACAAGGCAGGGAAGAGGCTTCTGCCCCAGTGATGGTGTGAACCCAGGGCCTGGGCTTATGGAAAAGCTCCTCGAAAAATAATTTAGAGAAAAATAAAACCAGCAACCTCTTTATTAAGTACCTCTACCTGGGACACTGCCACCCCTCGTGGCCAGCAGGGATAGAAGGGTATCCACTGGTTCCCTCTCATCTCCAGAGGCTGCCTGTGCTGAGCCAACCGTGGTCCCTGAGCCAGAAGCTCTGTCCCTTGGGTGGCTTGACAGGGCACTCATGCTGAGCAAATAAATCCACAAGGAAACGCCGAGAGCCTTGTCCTCCCAGCGCGAGGCTTGCTTCCACTTGGTGCTTCACGGTCAGTACGAAAACCTGATGCACAGAGATGTTCCGATTATGTTTCTCTGCTCCCTGCTTCCTTGAGATCAGGCCACTTCGAATGAGGTAATGAGACCACAATTTTCTCCCCAGGAATTGTTCTCAACATCCTCTTTGCTGGTGTCTCCTCATTCATCCCAGCCCTGCTCAGATGCTCCCCCATGAGGTCCCGGGTGCCCGTCAGGGCCCGGCTCAGCCCCGGCATCCTTGTTGACTCAGGTCCCTCAGGATGGACCACTTTCTAGCCAGTAGGGCATGGGTCCCAGCTCTCCCCATGTGGAGTGTAGGGGGCTTGTGGTGGGTTCTACTCCCATGGCAGTGTTAGCCAAGGAGTCTGCGTTTCCACCGGGTCTGGGGGAGCTTGGAGTCATCAAAGGAAGCTTCTGTGAAAATCTTGGAGTTGCTGTTACTTTGTCTGGGGTTCCAAAAACAGCATTACCCCGAAGAAGGGACCTAGACTGAGTCTGAGCTCCATAAATTAGCTGCCCCTGTGTGGGTAAGAACAGATTTGTTGAACTCGATTTTTGCATTACATTTGCATAATACTCTCATTTAAATAATGACAGAAGGTATGGAGATGGGAGGTGGGAGGGACGTGGGCTCTGAGCCTGAGGGCTCCCAGTGGAAGGAGCTCAAGAACAGAGCTGCCCCTCCCACAGTACGACCTCCACTGCCCAGAGATCATACGGCAAATGGTGTTTTCTGGTGGGGTCAGCGGGGCGGGGGAAGAAGCGTGCCGCCTGGCCCAGTCTCTGTTGCCCATTGTCACCGCGTGGAGAGGTGGAGAAGTCCCAGGAAGGCAGAAGGCTTGGACCAGTGTGAGGTCTGAACGGCATCCCCAAAACCCCATATGCTTCCTCCAAGTTGTATTAATCCTATTTTTTTAATTTCTGTATTTTATGATGCTCTGACATCCTGGGGCCTCACTGACCAGAGAAGGAACTGCCTCTCCCAGGGGTAGCTAATTCCTGGGGACTCCCTGGTGAGTGTGCCTTTCATGTGCAAACCGCCCAATCCAAGCCCTTGGCTCCAGCCACCTCCTACATGGGCTCCTGCACTCCCAGGCCAGTATTTCCCTACCCTGAATCACCCAGGGCCAGGAACCAGACAACTAGAGCCCAGAGCCCTCCAAAATTGCTGAAACGCCAGCCCTAGGCCTGCTCAGCTGGTCACCACACCTCCCCAGCTCCTTCCCACGATAAGGGCTCTGGGCCTGCTCACCCCTCACTCCTGCTGCCTCCCGGCTGAGCTGGTGCTTTCCCACATGGCCTTGCCTGGTATGCCATGCCCCCTCCTCTTGGGAACCTTAAGTAATAAACTCTCCTTTCAAGACAGCTGTCTCCATGTTTGTCATCTTATCATACCTAATTAAAATAAACCATCGGTACATCGCAAAACACAAGCCTCTGTCACCCTGGCAGCCGGGAATGAACAGGAGATGCCTTCCAGGTGCCCAAGCACTGGGCTGATAACGCTGATGGGCACAGAACAAGCTGAAGGTGCCACCCCCAGGAAGACTGCAGGAACTCTGAGAGGAGTAGCTTGTTCAGGGCCCCCCTGCCAGGGATTGAAATAATTATCACTAACACCATCTTCCAAAATAGCATCTTGCATCTAGATCAGGGGTGTCCAATCTTGTGGCTTCCCTGAGCCACATTGGAAGAAGAAGTGTCTTTAGCCACACATAAAATACATTAACACTAATGATAGCTGATGATGAGCTAAAAAAATCGTGAAGAAATTCTCATAGTTTTAAGAAATGTGACGATTTTGTGTTGGGTCCCATTCGAAGCTGTGTCTGGCTTCACGCAGCCCGCAGACTGCAGGTTGGAGAAGCTTGGTCTAAGTAGTAGCCCATGTGGGGACAGCTGCTCTATTTGCAGAGTGACTGTTCCACGTCACACATAGTGGGCTGTTTGTACATAAGCTAGCCTGCCTGCACATACGCTGTGCCCTATGCAGAAAGGCTGGCCTATATGCAGATCAGCTCACTTCTGGTTCCCCCAAATGCAAAAATGTTCTAATAAACATGCTACTCAGATTGGCTGATCAGAGGCAACTCACAGATCTGACATCAATTAGTTGCTCTGGACCTGACCTCAGTGTCCATCCTGAGGACAGCTGCTGGCCCAGGACACATACATGCCGATTCTCTCACCGTAGACCCCACCAGCTAAGTGGGACACCACCACAGGGTGTGGTTCATTTTCATGCATGTTAGTGCTGTTCTCTGTCCATCCTTGCAAAGCAGGCAAAGCAGGTGGTCAAGAGGGAAGCAAATGTCAGAACTGTCCTAGTTGTCTGTGAAGTCCCCCAGGCCTCAGCCTGTGGCTCTGAACCCGTTTTCCTGCCATGATGCTGGGCAGCATCCAGGATGTGCATCTGGGCTTCTGCCAAGCTTCCTGCAGGATAGTGTGGGGAAACTCTCCTTCCGCTTCTGAAATGATGCTGCTAAACGCCTCTGCCTACCCAACAGATAAACTGGTACTTGCAATATGCTTGCAGCTTTGGTGTGGGAATGGGGTTGCCTATTATGCATAGTTATATTTAATAAGAAACTAAACTGAAAGCTCACTGCAGTAAACAAGCATTTGGATTCTCATCCTGGCTCTGAAACGACTGGGAAATCGTTGGAGATTGATGCATCCCTAGAGGCATCTCTTGAACCCAGGGTCATCTGGCCTCCATGTGGCTGTGTGTGCACAGACGATTCTTCTCCAAGATGATCCTATGGGTCCTGAAAGACCTTGGCACAGGGGCCTCCAGACTGCGGTAACACCATCCTCCCTTCTGAAACCCAGGCAGAGAGGCTTGGAGAGTGGCACTGGGGAAATACCAGGAATGGCCAGCAAGAGGAAGAGACCCTCTGCCTGCCCAGTCACTGTGTGCCCAGAGAGAAGTGTGGGTGTGTAGGGAGGGACACAGCCCTGCCTCTGCTAAGGGAGAGATCTCCAAGGCTGCTGCCTATGGGGGCTGTGTGGAGGTACAGCCCCCACCTCTGCCCTGGGCCCCCAGCACCCAGCCTGCCATGGTCAGTCACAGCCTTCCCATGCCTTGAGTGTCTGGGGAGGGCCGGGAAGACCAGGAGGCACAGGGATGGAGTCTGGGGCTGATCTTCCTTGGAGATGCCCCAGCTTGTGGCCTCGCATTGGGCCTCTCCACGTGGCCTGTGTGTTGGGCCTGGCTCACCCCAGCCATCCTCACATTGTACAAGAGACCCTTGTCCCCACCGCGTTGCACCGCGTGTGGCACCCTGGGTAGAGGCCCAGCTCTGGAGTCAGACTGGGGAAAAATACGTTGGCTCTGCCAATGCTCACTGTGTGCTCCTGGACAGGTAACTAAACCTGTCTGTGCTTGTTTCCTCCTGTTAAAATGGGGACAATAATCAGATATACTTTAAGGTTTGTGCTTATTTTGAATTACACAAGAAACAGAGCTGGAGTCAAGGATTGTTGGCACTAATCATTTGAGAGACTATCCCAGGGAGAGCTGGGAATGAGTGGTGATGTCATGATCCGGCGCTGCTGAGCCTGAGGAGGTCTGAGAAGGCCCAGCGGAACCCTCTTGGGGGCCAGCACTCACGGCACAGGGAAATTCGGAGACCGGGCCAACCCCTAAGGACTCTGCCTCCAGAGTTTGTTCATTGTTCACTCATTCATTTAGCAGTTACGTGTGTCGCCCGGCGCTGCTCTCATGGATGGACTCTCGGCCTTTAATGTGCTCTCTCACCAAAGGGAGATGAGGGCAGCTGACAAAGGCCCCCTTCTGAGTTCCTGCCAGGGCCTGGATTCCAACGGTGAAACTTTCCTCTGGGATTAACCACATGGTGTTCAGGCATCTCAGAATCGTTCAGTAGGAGGCAACACCTTGGCCATGGAGCCGGGGACACCGACACAGGGAGGGGAGGCCTTGGCCGTGGAGCAGAGTGATTCCTAGTAGAGCCGCATGGGAAGCTGTGGCATATGGGTACTGCCTGTACTCTCTGGCTCACTTGCTTACTCATGTATTGCTTGTTTGCGCAGCACCTGCTCTCTGCCAGACACTCTCCTGGGTACAGGGATGCAATATCCCTCATGAGCTCAGACACATACAGGACAGCCAGACAATACAGCAAAACAGAAGTGAACACTGTTTTAGATGGTGAGGAGTGGCAGGAGGGGAAATCATGCGAGAAAAAGCAGGAGTGCAGATCATGACGGAGGGAAGTGCTGGAACCCAGAGGGGAGGCTTCAGGTGGTCCTGGGCTGAAGCAGGGGCTGGGTCAGGAGGAACAACTGAGGCTGGACGCAGAAGAGAACAGGGTGACCGGGCATAAGGCAGGGGGACACTGTTTGAGTCTTGGATGGAGAGAGTGTGAGTTGGGTGCAAAAATCCTAGAGAAGTAGCTACGGTCTGAGCTGCCAGGCACCAGGAGCGGGAGCTGTGAGCATACTTGTGGCCTCCCACCTGAGGCCACAGGAGGGAGACTCATAGGATGTCCTCCCTTTGCACTTGCTGCTTAAGGTCTCAGGGTGTCAGAGATGAGGACGTGTGTTCATGTGATCCTGCCCCTAGTGGGTCAGCTCATGAAGCAGGGAAGGCTGCCCAAGCTGACGCTAAACTCCCATAACTACCCTTGACCAAGCAGGTCTCTGAAAGGGGACTGTGAGTCCCACTGCAGGAAGGGACAAAGCTTAAAGCACCAATTCGCATTTTATCCTGAAGACCTGAGAGTCTTTCAAACTTATAGAGGTTTTTTTAGTTAAAGAAGAGGAGAAAATGTAAAGAAAAAGGAAAGGATAGGAATAAAATAGACCTTGAAAACCCAATGGAAACAAACCAAATTTGGCTTCTGATAATATAATTTCATAATGCTTCATTGAAATATCATGTACTTACAGAAAAGTGCTCAGTAGATTTTGAAAAACCAAGCTCACCCTGTGGCCATTACCTGGACACTGGAGCAGGGTGTGAGCTGCCCGCAGTGCCTCTGTGGTCCCTCCAGCGTGGCCTCCTCCAGGGAAAACACTGTCCTTACCCCAGCAGCACAGACTAGTTTCTTCGTGGAATTTCTTTTTCCCAAGGACCACAAAGGAAGCAGGGAGGCAGGGAATGGGGGGCAGTTTCCCTTCTTAAAATAATGTGACTGGAGGGAAAGTGGATACAGGCGGGAACCCTCAGCAAGCTCCAAGGAGCCCCACCGCCATTCAGTATCCGTCACGGAGCAGCCACAGTGAGGCCAAAGTTGCAGCTCACATTAAGAACAATTAACAGTTTTACACCACTTTTCCACATTCTTTTTAAAAAATTACGTTCTTGCATTATTTTCCCCATATGGATTTTTAAACATGAGAGTGCCTAAGTCGATTGGACGGAAGTTCAATCTGGTCTTGATTACCTCTGACTTCGTGAGTTAATGAGCGCTAAGTAACTCACCTTTCCTTTAATCTGGAAGCAGTGGCCCTGCCTGTGGGGTGGGGGACACAGGCTGAGAGTGGACCACAGGCTCCGAATCACCTATTCTGGTGCATGTGTCCTACTCTCAGGCCACAGATCCACAGGGTCAGACTGAGCTGCGGGGAGTGTGGCCCCACCCTGTTTCCCTTAAAGCAGGTTACAGAGGATTGACCTAGTGGGGTCACAGAGAGCACCGTGAGCCTGAGACCCAGGCTCTGGTCCTACCTTATCACGAACTCACTGTGGGCCTCAGCCTGGCCAGACCTCTCTCAGGGTCTCTGTTTCTGCATCTGTATAATGAGGCCCCATCTGTAGTGTTAGATGGAAACTGAGTAAGGACTAGAGGGGTTGGGGGTGATTCACCAACTCTTTACCCCTCAACAGAGCAGAAGGACAGCTTCCAGAGTGTGCTTCCAGAGGGCCCTGGGCGTGTTGAGTCCTAAGAGGAAGGAACCCCCATCATCATGGTACATGCTGTGTAACCCCACAGCCTGGCTCACTGTGTCCACTGGAACCCACGTCCTTGGGGTCAGAAACCTGGAAACAGCCACTCTGTTCACAGAGAAGCAACCTTTCAGTGTTTTCCTTTCCCCTTACCACAGGGATGGCCGTGTTAGAATTACACTCCTCTACACCAGCCAGGTGAGTTACTGCAGGCTTATGACTTCATAGGTCACCTGGCATGCATTTGTAACAAAATCTTTGATGTGATAAAGCAACAGACTCCATTGCAAAAAACATTAGCAATCTCTCCTCACTAAGTCACAACTTTGATAAAGTGTTTTCTATTCAAAAAACTTAGTGCAATTATGGTGCAGAGCTGAGATCTCAGCACAATTTCATTTACAATCAACCTGGCATCTCCAATGCACTAATTGAAGCATTATCACTATTGTCTTCCGTATGAAATATGCGCAAAGTATATTTCTTTCCCTTTATCCCCCCAGTAAATAGCATATTCTGGACATGTAGCATTTCAATGAATGTGGCAGTAGGCCACGGGGACCACTGACCCTCACACCTGAGAGGACACTGAGGCCCTTGGAGGTGGAGAGACTGCCCAATGCACACAGCTCATGTCAGTGCCTCTGTGATGGCTTTCCCCCCAGGTGACTGTCACCCCAACATTTTACTGACACACACAGAGTTCCTGGCTCTGTCCTCCCACCAGCAAACTTTGTGCATAGCCAGAGTCTCCTCCCGCCTGCTGCACTTGGGGTTTATAGAGAGCACTTAGGCCTGCAGGAGCTAAGATTGCACAACTGCACTCCAGGCTGGGGAACAGAGTGAAACTTCATTAAAAAAAAAATCCACAGCTAAGTTGATGCAAAAGCAGCATCTAAATCATAGACTAGAAAAAGCAGCCACCACATGTGACAGTGAAGCTTCAGAAACTGCCTTTGGGAGGTAGGAGCAAGGCAAAGATATGCCCTTTCTATGTACCCTTTCTATGCAACCTCGGGTAGAGTTACCGGCTTGTGCAATAATGCAAGAAAATGAACTAAATGTGGAACAATGGGTCAGGAATAAAAGGAAACCATCATTCTTTATTGACCCTATAAAAATCTACATTTTAAAAGGTCATAACAAATAAGAGAGTTCAACTGGACACAAGACTAGTAAACAAAACTATCAGCAGTACCCAATTCATAATTATAAAAAGCAATTTCATTTGACATCAACAAAAGTTATCAGTTACCTAGGAATACATCAACTAAGACAAGGGTAATAACTTTATGAAAAAATAAAGATATCAGTGAAGAATATTTTTAAAGATGTCTATAAATGGGGAGGTGTGGTGAGACCTGCATGGTAAAGCGATGAAGTCTCCCCAAGTGAGGTGATGAATTTGATGCAGTTCCCACCAAGCACACACCCATGGGGACACGTTCACCTGCATCTGTTTACGTGTTTTTTAAAACTTGACTGGCTGACTCCAAAAACAATACAGGACAATAATAACCAAGATACTTTTAAAGGAGAAAAAGTAAGTCGAGGATACATTACACCAGATATAAGCACACCATATAAATCCATTGCAATTACAGCCACATGATATCTTGGTAGAAGAGAAAAATAGACCAAAGGAAAAGAGTACAGAGCACCAAAGAAGACCCTCTTCTGTGTTGAAACTTAGTCTATTAGAAAACAAATAAAGTGCCCAATCGTTTGGGCAATTGGCTCTTCATTTTGAAAAAAGATACCTTTAGATCTATACCTCAAGACATACACAAAGGTTATTTTCAGGTGGACTGAGAAACTTTATAAATATAGCAAGACTCTTTAGATGAAAATATAAGAAAATATATTTTGAATACATTTTGTGGATTTCGCAAAATACATAGAAAAATCACATGATCAAAAGATTAATAAAATTGACTAAAATTTAATAATAAATATATCTATAATAATTTTTTAAAAAATAATAATAAAATCTAAACTTTCCCTTCCACAAATGATATGGAGACTAGGATAAGGTATTTGTAAAACATCTTGTGAACTAAAGATTTCTATTGAGAGTACTTAAAGGTTTTTAAGTGGTGCTGGCTCCCCTCTTAGGGGACTCTTAGTTCAAACAGGTTTCCTCTCATGGCTGAAGTGTTGAGTGCCTTTTCCACTCCCGTTCTCTCACAAGTGTGCAGAGGCAACTGACGTGTGATGTCACTGCAGACTGAATACAGAATTCCACATGGGAAACTTGTTTCCCAGGAGCCAGGCAGCAGGAGCATTCACACATCTAAACAATGCTACTCCTGTCACCAGTTTCTAAAGAAAATATAGTTATTTTCGTAACATGTTATGTTATGAACATAACATAATCCTTGATGTTCATTAGCATAATGGATTCATTATGAGTTTTCACTAATTGGTTACTTAATGTGATGGTTACTATTGTCAACTTGATTGGATTGAAAGATGCAGAGTATTGTTCCTGGGTGCGTCCGTGAGAGTGTTGCCAAGGGAGATTCACATTTGAGTCAGTGGACCTGGGAGAGGCAGACCCACCCTCAATCTGGGTGGGCATCATCTCATCAGTTGCCAGTGTGGCTGGGATAAAAGCAGGCA
The DNA here is from genome assembly GCF_000001405.40 of Homo sapiens. Taxonomy (NCBI): domain Eukaryota; kingdom Metazoa; phylum Chordata; class Mammalia; order Primates; family Hominidae; genus Homo; species Homo sapiens. The sequence goes on along the minus strand of NT_187653.1, from coordinate 44,199 downwards.
GAGAAATGCGGAAGGACGAGACTGGCTGAGTCTTCCGGCCTTCATCTTTCTCCCACGCTGGATGCCTCCTGCCCTTGAATACCGGACTCCAAGTTCTTCAGTTTTGGACTCTTGGATTTACACCAGTGGTTTGCCAGGGGCTCTCGGGCCTTTGGCCCCAGACTGAAGGCTGCACTGTCGGCTTCCCTACTTTTGAGGTTTTGGGACTCAGACTGGCTTCCTTGTTCCTCGGCTTGCAGCCTACTGTGGGACTTCACCCTGTGATCGTGTGAGTCAATACTACTTAATAAACTCCCTTTCATATACACTTCTATCCTATTAGTCCTGTCCCTCTAGAGACTAATACTCTTAAGATTTTAAATTGTTCTCCATTTTCATCTTTAACATGGTAAATGTTAATAGATAAACCATACTTATTAGGGTTCTCAATTACTTCTTATTATTTTTTTAATTGACACAATATGGCACATATTCGTGGGGTTCACAGGGATGCTGCAGTACATAGAATGAATCAAGGATTAGATCAGGGTGGCGAACACATCCATCGTCTCAAACACGATAATTTCTCCTCCTAGCTATCTGAAACTATGAATTATAGTTAACTATAGTCACCCTACAGTGCCAAAGAACCATAGGACTTATTTTTCCCATCCAGCTGTAATTCCATATCCTTTAAAAAATCTCTCCCTATCCGTCCCCTCTCCCTCCCCTTCCCAGCCTCTAATATCCTCTGTTCTACTTTTTACTTCTATGAGAGCAACATTTTTTAAAGTTTCCACATGTCAGTGAGAACATTCAGTATTTAACTTTCTGTTCCTGGCTTATTTCACTTACCATAATGTCCTCCAGTTCCATCCGTTTTGCCATGAATGACAGGACTTCATTTTTTTTTACAGATGACTAGTATTCCACTGTGTGTATATACCACGTTTTTTATCCAGTCATCTGCTGTTGGACACCTAGGTTGATTCCACGTCTTGACTATTGTCAATAAACATGGGGTTGCAGATATTGGTTTGATATACCGATTCCTTTCCTTTGGATAAATGTCCAGGAGTGGGATTGCTGGATCTTATGGTAGTTCTGATGTGGGGCAGGTGAGCCCCAAGGTGGAGTTTAGTCTGCAAGGGTTCTTGCCTTTGCCCAGGAAAGAATTCAAGGGCAAGCCAAAGGAAGAAGAAAACAGCTTTATTTATTTAGAGACGGAATCTTGCTCTGTCACCCAGGCTGGAGTGCAGTGGAGCGATCTCGGCTCATTATAACCTCCGCCTCCTGGGTTGAAGAGATTCTCCTGCCTCAGCCTCCCAAGTAGCTGGGATTACAGGCACGCACCACGACGCCCACCTAATTTTTGTATTTTTAGTAGAGACGGGGTTTCAACATTTTGGCCAGGCTGGTTTTGAATTTCCCACCTCGTGATCCGCCCACCTCAGCCTCCCAAAGTGCTGGGATGACAGGCGTGAGCCACTGTGCCCGGCCAAAAACAGCTTTATTAATAAAGAAGAAATGTTACAGCTCTGAGACGGTTCCTGCAGAGCAGGGCTACCCTCTCTGCCCTGTAAGAAGAGAAGAGCAGCTCGGGGCAGTTTTGCAGTCATGTTTAATCCACTTTTAATTTCACGCGGATTAAAGACGGTTTATGCAGAAATTTCTAAGGAAGGCATAGTAACTTTTGGGTCATTGAGTCATTGCCATGGAAAGGAGCGGTAACTCCCGGTGTCGTCATGGCAACGATAAACTTCCATGGCACTGGTGGGTGTGTCTGATTGAAAGCTGCTTCCGCCCCAGCCCTGTTTTAGCTAGTCCTCAATCTGGTCCGGTGTTCGAGCCCCACCTCTGGAGTTGAGTCCCACCTCCTACCTCAGTTCTGTTTGTAGTTCTGTGAGGAACCTCCACACTGCTTTCCACAGTAGCTGTACTGGTTTACATTCCCACCAACAGTGTCAAGAGTTCCCTTGGTTATTTTTTGTCTTTTTGATGAACGCCATCACAACTGGGGTGAGATGATATTTCTTTTTTTTTTTTTAATTTTTTTTTTAATTATTATACTTTAAGTTTTAGGGTACATGTGCACATTGTGCAGGTTTGTTACATACGTATACATGTGCCATGCTGGTGTGCTGCACCCATTAACTCGTCATTTAGCATTAGGTATGTCTCCCAGTGCTATCCTTCCCCCCTCCCCCCACCCCACAACAGTCCCCAGGGTGTGATGTTCCCCTTCCTGTTTCTATGTGTTTTCATTGTTCAATTCCCACCTATGAGTGAGAACATGAGGTGTTTGGTTTTTTGTTCTTGCGATAGTTTACTGAGAATGATGATTTCCAATTTCATCCATGTCCCTACAAAGGACATGAACTCATCATTTTTTATGGCTGCATAGTATTCCATGGTGTATATGTGCCACATTTTCTTAATCCAGTCTATCATTGTTGGACATTTGGGTTGGTTCCAAGTCTTTGCTATTGTGAATAGTGCTGCAGTAAACATACGTGTGCATGTGTCTTTATAGCAGCATGATTTATAGTCCTTTGGGTATATACCCAGTAATGGGATGGCTGGGTCAAATGGTATTTCTAGTTCTAGATCCCTGAGGAATCGCCACACTGACTTCCACAATGGTTGAACTAGTTTACAGTCCCACCAACAGTGTAAAAGTGTTCCTATTTCTCCACATCCTCTCCAGCACCTGTTGTTTCCTGACTTTTTAATGATCGCCATTCTAACTGGTGTGAGATGGTATCTCATTGTGGTTTTGATTTGCATTTCTCTGATGGCCAGTGATGGTGAGCATTTTTTCATGTGTTTTTTGGCTGCATAAATGTCTTCTTTTGAGAAGTGTCTGTTCATATCCTTTGCCCACTTTTTGATGCGGTTGTTTGTTTTTTTCTTGTAAATTTGTTTGAGTTCATTGTAGATTCTGGATATTAGCCCTTTGACAGATGAGTAGGTTGCAAAAATTTTCTCCCATGTTGTAGGTTGCCTGTTCACTCTGATGGTAGTTTCTTTTGCTGTGCAGAAGCTCTTTAGTTTAATTAGATCCCATTGGTCAATTTTGGCTTTTGTTGCCATTGCTTTTGGGGTTTTAGACATGAAGTCCTTGCCCATGCCTATGTCCTGAACGGTAATGCCTAGGTTTTCTTCTAGGGTTTTTATGGTTTTAGGTCTAACGTTTAAGTCTTTAATCCATCTTGAATTGATTTTTGTATAAGGTGTAAGGAAGGGATCCAGTTTCAGCTTTCTACATATGGCTAGCCAGTTTTCCCAGCACCATTTGTTAAACAGGGAATCCTTTCCCCATTGCTTGTTTTTCTCAGGTTTGTCAAAGATCAGATAGTTGTAGATATGCAGCGTTATTTCTGAGGGCTCTGTTCTGTTCCATTGATCTATATCTCTGTTTTGGTACCAGTACCATGCTGTTTTGGTTACTGTAGCCTTGTAGTATAGTTTGAAGTCAGGTAGTGTGATGCCTCCAGCTTTGTTCTTTTGGCTTAGGATTGACGTGGCGATGCAGGCTCTTTTTTGGTTCCATATGAACTTTAAAGTAGTTTTTTCCAATTGTGTGAAGAAAGTCATTGGTAGCTTGATGGGGATGGCATTGAATCTATAAATTACCTTGGGCAGTATGGCCATTTTCATGATATTGATTCTTCCTACCCATGAGCATGGAATGTTCTTCCATTTGTTTGTATCCTCTTTTATTTCCTTGAGCAGTGGTTTGTAGTTCTCCTTGAAGAGGTCCTTCACATCCCTTGTAAGTTGGATTCCTAGGTATTTTATTCTCTTTGAAGCAATTGTGAATGGGAGTTCACTCATGATTTGGCTCTCTGTTTGTCTGTTGTTGGTGTATAGGAATGCTTGTGATTTTTGCACATTGATTTTGTATCCTGAGACTTTGCTGAAGTTGCTTATCAGCTTAAGGAGATTTTGAGCTGAGACAATGGGGTTTTCTAGATATACAATCATGTCATCTGCAAACAGGGACAATTTGACTTCCTCTTTTCCTAATTGAATACCCTTTATTTCCTTCTCCTGCCTAATTGCCCTGGCCAGAACTTCCAACACTATGTTGAATAGGAGTGGTGAGAGAGGGCATCCCTGTCTTGTGCCAGTTTTCAAAGGGAATGCTTCCAGTTTTTGCCCATTCAGTATGATATTGGCTGTGGGTTTGTCATAGATAGCTCTTATTATTTTGAAATACGTCCCATCAATACCTAATTTATTGAGAGTTTTTAGCATGAAGGGTTGTTGAATTTTGTCAAAGGCCTTTTCTGCATCTATTGAGATAATCATGTGGTTTTTGTCTTTGGCTCTGTTTATATGCTGGATTACATTTATTGATTTGCGTATATTGAACCAGCCTTGCATCCCAGGGATGAAGCCCACTTGATCATGGTGGATAAGCTTTTTGATGTGCTGCTGGATTCGTTTTGCCAGTATTTTATTGAGGATTTTTGCATCAATGTTCATCAAGGATATTGGTCTAAAATTCTCTTTTTTGGTTGTGTCTCTGCCCGGCTTTGGTATCAGAATGATGCTGGCCTCATATAATGAGTTAGGGAGGATTCCCTCTTTTTCTATTGATTGGAATAGTTTCAGAAGAGATGATATTTCAGCATTGTGGTTTTGACCCTGAGAAGAAACAGTTTGAGCATCTGTGGTGCTGGGAAGTTCTTGAATGCCACCCTCAGGAGTTCTAGGGTCACCCTTCTGAGGACGACAGGAGTGGAGGAAGGGCTTCCAGCAAGAGGCAGACCTTACCAATGAGTAGAACCTGGCAGCAAGAGAAGAACTAGATGTGGGGGCAGGAGGGTCAGATGGGAGAGGACCCGCTCATGGCAGGTGCCCTACCTGCAGACGCTGCAGTCCTCCCCACACTCCAGGCCCACCGCACCACAGGGCACAGCCTGGCAGCCTTCTCTCAGCCACGGTCCCACTCAGCACCTCTTGTACATGTGGAAGGGGCTCCATGCTCTGCAGAGGAGCAGAGGAAGTGGGGATGTAGGGAAAATAGAGAGCGGTGGAAAACTGGGTGGGCCACAAATGGCCAGGATCTTCCCTCCGCCATCGTGTGTGGGCTGGGTGGTCACAGTGTCCTCAGAGCCTTGACATCTGCACCTGTGAGATGACACTTGCCTGCCCACCTCTGAGCATCCCAGTTGTGCCCACAGCCCCGGGTGAGGGCAGGGCCGAGACGTGTGCCCAGATTGCTGTATTGATGTTGAATAGACCTGCTGGAAAGGGTTCCAGACGCTATCACACATGGAGTGGGACAGGATGAGCATTCCAACCTTTCATTGAAAGTTCTGTTTATATGTAGCTGCCAAACACCTTGGTGAGTGGACTATTCTTCCAAGATGGAAATGAACTTGTCCTACCCAAAATGGGGCAGTGCTGTGGTTCAGCAGGAGACACACCCCCAACCCAAAGCAGGTGTGTGAGGAGGGGGTGGCAAAGGGGATGCATGCCCCTATCACAATGGGTTTTCGTTCACAGCAGGACTCCCTGGAGGTCCTCAACCAGGTGGCACCTGAGTCGGGGCCTGGGGACTGGCTAGAGTCAGCTGACAGCAGCTGGAGCACACGTCAGAAAAACACAACCCACTGGCCTAGAGCTCCCGTCCCTGCCCTGTCTCTAACCTGGCCTTTGATGCCTTTTATTTTTCTTTCCTCAAATGCACATTATTAACTGCAGATGCCCAGCTGAGAAGATGAGAGAAAGTTAATGAAATTACACGAGTGCTTTGCTGAGTTCTCTTTCAAACTACAGCTTGTTAAGTTAAAACAGCAGTGTGAAGGGTGTAGCTCTCTGTGAAGTTTCTGGATGTGGCCCTGGCCTCAGGGAGGCTTGTGGGGTGGTCAAGGAAGCCTGGCAGAAGGTAGTTCATGGCAGAGACACCAGCCACATGTGGGCCTTCCTGTGTGGGCCTTGCCTGTGTGGGCCTGTCTTTCCCTTGCTGGTCTCCTGTCTCAAGTTCTCCCATCCCTGCTTCTCACGTCTGTGGGCCTGACCACTCACTGCCTTGATACACCCAGCTCCTTGCCCTCCAGCCTGGGCTCAGGTGCACTGCCCCGCAGGACTACAGGGTCATTTCCATGACTCAGTTCCTGGTTTGCCTGTCACCCCCCACCTCCCCTTCTGCAATTGCCTGTCCTCCCACCTGGTTTTATTTTCTTCATTTCCAGTTTTTATTTCTCATGCTTTTTGTTTCTTTTCCCTGTAGGAGTGTGAGCCCTGCGAGGAAGGAAACCCCAGCTCGTTAGGCATTCGTTAGTGTGAGCAAGTTGCTGCCATCAGTCAGATGGGTAACGTGGTGCCTGCCTTTGGGGCTGTGAAGGGGATTGAATGAGCACAGCTGTGTGTTTGAGAGTGCCTAGATGTGAAGTGTGTTAGCCTTAGAGCATTGCACGTGGTAAGCACTATTGTGAGTGCCTAGATGTGAAGTGTGTTAGTCTTAGAGCATCGCACATGGTAAGCCCTATTATCATGACCATTGTCAGCATTCACTGCTGTGTACCCAGCACCTTGCACGGGGCGTGGCACGTGGGAACCCCCAGTTGACAGAGTCCAGTGAAAGGAAGAATGAGTGAGTGAGCGGGTGAGTGGGTGAGGGATGGTGCCCTGCACAGGGGACCTCCCCCAGCACGATGCAACCTGTGCTCTCAGGCCCAGCCTCTGTCATTTAGTCGCTTTTTGTTTCAAGTTCCCAGAGTGAGTAGTAAATACTTCAACCAGTCAGAGTTCTCAAAAAAAGCTCAGTGAACATGTGTAATGATTCATTCAGCATTTGCTCAGTGCCTACATAAAGTAGGCTGAGGCTAGAAATGGCAACTAGCACATACACCATGCCCTGGGGATCGAAATATAACAGAGGAGAAAGCCATGTAAAATGAATTTTCAAAGGCATTTGAGACCTAAGATCTCGGGGAAATGACTGTGGGACGGTGGGATTACTGGCGTTCCTTCCAGATGCTACAGATGATGCCCCGTGGCAGCTCTTCCCACAGAGGGTGACTTTTATGAAGTCCTCAGGGGCTGCACCTCAGCATTTGGCAGCCCAGCTTGAACCCGAGCCCCTTTACTTCACAGCTCTGAACCTCACTTCTTCAACTGTGAAATGGGAACAGGAATGGCAAAGCCTGCCTTGGAGGCTGCCTGAGTACCGAGGGACCCAATCAACGCGTGCAGTGTGCGTGGCAGCGCGGGAAGCTGCATACTGTTCACATCTCCTCCTCTTCTCCAACAGTCCTGGGTGCAGTGTGTGCGGGAAGCTGCATACTATTCACGTTTCCTCCTCTTCTCCAAAAGTCCTTATGTCGTCCATGGCATGGGCGGGAAGCTGCATACTGTTCACATTTCCTCCTCTTCTCCAACAGTCCTGGGTGCAGTGTGTGCGGGAAGCTGCATACTGTTCACATCTCCTCCTCTTCTCCAACAGTCCTGGGTGCAGTGTGTGCGGGAAGCTGCATACTATTCACATTTCCTCCTCTTCTCCAACAGTCCTTGTGTTGTCCATGGCATGGGCGGGAAGCTGCACACTGTTCACGTCTCCTCTTCTCCAACAGTCCTTATGTCGTCCATGGCATGGGCGGGCCAGCACTGGGCCTCAGTGCTTCTGATTGTGCCATTTCAACTTCAGTGAGACGCATTTTTTTCCCACTGGCAGCTCAGGTAAGTCCCTTACCTCCCCAAAACAGCACCCTGTGAAATCACCTTCTTGCAGCCGGGTCAGACAGTTCGCCTTGTAGGTTTAATGAACGGTCTCCTGCATTTATCTCAGCTACTGCAGCCCAGTGTCTGGGGAAAGGCTGAGGGTGGTCTGAGGGCTGTGCTGGGCACTTTTTCAGGCTGCCAAAGCCTGTTCTTGGGAGGCAGCTGACCTCATCAAAAGGAGTTCAAGCAAGGGGCTGAGGGGCCGCATCTCCCGAGCACGGCAGACCTGGGGAATCAGTTTGGCCTTCCTTGTTCAGGTTGGGGACACCTCGCCCCATCACCCATCCCACCACACTAGGCTCTGCATCTCCCTGTCTGCTCCTTTACAACAGTTTACTATGGAATGCCCTCAGGGATACAGGAGTGCATCCAGGTGAAGCCTGTGGGGGAAATCCTACCACGTCTGCCATTTGCTGAACTTCTCAAAACTTAGCCTCAGGACCATTAAGTCTCCCCTGGTTTTGGTGGGGATGACCAGCTTTATGCCCCATTTCCTTATGCCTGGGCATGCGATGGACAGGACACTGACCTCTCCATTCCCAGTGCAGGCATCCGGGGGCAAATACTCCCTGGCCACCTTTGACTCTCAGCTGGCTGCTCCATGCTGCCCGCGTCTTAAGACCAGGAAATACTCCATATTTGCCCCTTTCTATTGGCCTTTTCCTGAGCCCAGCTTAGAACATGCAAAACCCAACTATTACTGTAACATAATTAATTACTCCTATTCCTACGTCACTGTTAATAAGATCTCCTAGGCCATTTCCACGTCTCAGGTCTAATGAAGGCGCTAGAAACGCAGAAGAGAAGTAAGATACACTGTGCCAGCCTTTGGAGGCTGCCGAGTAGATGACCCTGGAATGTTCCCTTTTCCGCACTGCGCTGGACATGCCAGTTAAATGACCCTCAGTATTACCTTTTCCACATTGCACTTGACAGAACACCGATTTGATCACAGAAAAGCACTGAACTGACTCATAAATTTGGGGCAGGTTCCCTACTTTACTTTCGCCTTGGAGATGAGCACACATTTGTTTGTGAAAGCTTCAGAGAAGTTTTGCAATAATCAATCATTTTTACTCAGGGTTTCCTGAAATTTCCTGATTATAGAAATCAATTTTTAAAATATTTTTTGTAGAATGATACTAACATTCCTCAAAATACTGGTGATCCAATAAACGTGGATCATGGCTACTGTGGATTCAGTGTCAGAGACAAGGAAACCAGGGCTTCTGAGGCAGAATTCACTAGGTTCACCTTGGGAGTCGACTGCAGAGTGAAATGAACCAGAGGGCACCCTTGCCCACTCTTACGTCTGGGCCTTTATGTCCCCACCTTTTCTCTGTTTTTACTGGTGTCTGCACACTGTATTTGTGTGGCGTGTCAAGGCACAAATGTACAGGGAATGTCAAATCAGAAAAGTTCACTCTCTGCCTTGGCAGCTCTCATCTGCAGGAGTGTGTGTGCACGGGGGTAGTGGTGCAGCCAGTGAGCACAGCACATTCAGCTGGCAGCACCCCGAGATGAGGATGAAGTGACTGGGAAGGTCACAGGAGAGGAGGGCTGCAGGTCCCGGGTTCTTCATGGAGGACAAGGTGTTTGTATGGGGTCCTGGAGGAGAGGCACGAGGACCTCTGCTTTATCCTAGCTTGCAGCAGGCTAGAAACACCCAACAGATAACTCCCCAAAAGGGAATAACATGGGACAACTTTGCCCCTTTGACCCTACAAATAGGTTTTATTTCCAGTACGATGAGCAAGCACGCTGAACTGTCTTGCAGTTGCCCAATGGGTTCTTCCCACCCACTGTACAGACAAAACCAATTCACCGAGACTGTGGTACTGCACTAAAGAAACAGTTTAATTGATGCAGCTAGCCACGTGGGAGAAGGAGCTGCTACTCAAATCAGTCTCCCAGAAGAACGGGAGGTTTGGGTTTTTCAAGGATTGTTTGGTGGGCAGAGGACCAGGGAGTGGGTGCGGTTGATTGTTTAGGGATGCAGTCATAGGGTGTAGAAAACGATCCTGTCACGGAGTCTGCCTCTGGGTGGGGAGGTGGGAGTGCATAGGACCAGTTGAGTCATGAGCCATGGGTCTGGGTAGGGTCAGTCGGTTGGCAGAATGCAAAAATCTGGAAAACAGCTGAAAAAACCAAACTCAGGCTCTACAATAGTGTTGTTATCTACAGAAGCAATTGGAGAAGTCACAAATTGTGTGACTTCTAGCCATATGACTTCTGAACAATAAGGAATTACGGAAACTATGTCTACATTTTAGCAGAGTTCGGGCTCCTCCCGAAATCCTAATCACGTGGCCTTTCATTCGTTTTTGGTCCTCAAGGAAGGAGGGCTTTAGTTTTAGAGAGGGACTAGTATTGTTTTATAACTAAATTTCTCCCCGGATTAGTTTAGCCTGTGCCCAAGCATGAGCAGGACAGCCTGCCTGTGAGGCTAGAGGTAAGGTGGAGTCAGTCATGCGTGACCTCCCTCGCTGTCATAAGCTTTGCAAAGGTGGTTGCAGTCTTTCTCTGGTCAGAACACATGGTGCAGCCATCTGAGATCTTTGCAAATGGACAGTAGCAAGAGAAGTGGAGAAAGAGGCCAGAGTGTGGTGAGTTCCACCTCACTGAAGGCCAGCAAGGGGCGTGGATTGGCAGGATAGTATCCAGTGTGGAACACAGGAGGAGCACCAGTGAAGGGAAACCAGGTCGGGAGCATCAGCCGTGGGAAATCATAGAGGGAATCCTTGTTCTCCTGCTGCTTCCTGGGGTCTGCAGTCTCCCTGTCCATCAGACGCTGGCCCTCCTCGTGGCTTGCTGACTGTGCTTTATGAAATTCACGCTCACATTTCCCCATATTTTCTGAAGCAGTGGTGAGTCTGGTTCTTGACTGGTTTTGTTTCCAGACGGGTCCCTTCTGTCTTTTTACTCCCCACTTCCAGTGGGCACGTGGGTTTCCCAGGGCCTCAGGCCTTCTGTCTGCTCTAGGGGAAGCTGGGGACGTCTGGACTGTCCTCATAGAAGCGGAGACGTTTTGCTGCACCTTAGGGAATGGGGAGCAGTGGGGAGTCTTATGGAATCCCTGGTCTCTACTCCACCCCCGAGCTCCTGCTGAGAGGCCTGCTGTGCCTGTGCCCTCCCTGGGGGTGGCACAGTCCAGGATCTCCCCACCTGGCATCCTCTGAGGTGGATGCTCCTGCCTCTGAGACAGGCAGCCCTCTGCTTGCTTGCTGCTCCCCAGCATCTGTTTCTGACTCACTGCGCAAAACGGACAGGAAAGTTGAGGGTCCCTGCCCAGTGTCTGTCTCCAGGCACAGAGCCTCAGCGCCAGCTCTCAAAACTCTGTCTGCTCACCTGGGCAGCTCCAGGAGGCGGGGGAGGAGTCAGGAGCACAGCAGCCCCTTGAAACTTCCCAGGATGGCTGGTTTGGGGGTTTATCACATTATTTTTCTCCCTCTGGTTTTAGCCACTGTAGGCCAGTTTGTTCACAGATTTTTATCAACTTTGGCTCATTTCATTACCTTATCAGAGGTGGGAATTCTGAGGTCCCTAAGCCAGAGGCTTTCAGGGATGTGGCTCCCTCTGCCGCCCTGGCAGGGAGGGCGCAGGAGCCCCAGGTGGAGCCTCTGACCTAGATCCTTTGGCTCTAGAGCCTGGAGCCTTACCACAAGGCTGCCTGTGGGTTTGGTGTCGGCCTGGAGCCCAGGCTGCTGGTTATCTGGAGACAGCCTCCCTGTAAGATTTCTCTGAGACAAGAAACAATTACGCAAATTATCCTAATTCTGTTTTAAAGAATAGAGAGATTGATTGCAGAGACAAACCATTTAGGCAGGCAATGTAGAAGGTGTTTCCATGGCTAATCTGCCTTCAAAGGAGAGGGATTTTGTTTGTAAACTTCAGACCCAGAAAATTGATTGTTCTGTCAACTTTAGATAATTATCTGTCCTCCCTGAGGCCCTAAGCTTAGCAGAAATGTTCTTTCTCTGAATCAGTACTCAGCTTTGGATCTCTGTTGGGTTCCCTGTAGAGTGCTAAATCAGATTCCCCCAAAGCAGTGGATCAGGAGCCTTCCTCCAGCCACAGTGCCCATCCTGCCTGCAGAAGAATGGACAGAGGGATGGGAGGGCTGCAGAGCTGGCACTGTGTCCCTGGAGGGGCTGGTGGGGACTCACTGTTCGGGGGACAGGGGAGGCAGAGTCCACACTCAACTGCTGCGTGGAGATGGGCATGAAGGGCAGGCAGGTCTGGCCTTGGCCTTGCGGTTTGTTTCCATTAAAGACCTTCAAGACCAGAAAGGACCAATAGGGCTGGACTATGCAGGGAGAGAAGAGGTTCTAGGGAACTGAGTTCCGAAGTCTTCGTCTTCTCACTGTGCAATGGGGTTCGCCTATAAAGCAGGCTGCTTGTCCTCGGGAGAGCTCATTGTGGAGAAACATCACTGGACAGAGCCCCTCCTTATCTGCATCAGACTCCTCTGGTCTCCCCGGTTGCCTTTTTCTCTGCCCCTAAGGGCATCTGTCCCTGGAGAGGCTCTCAGGACAGTATCCTGGACACCCCCTGCCTGGACACCCCTTGCCTGGCACCCCTCCTCTCCACAATGTCATCAGAGAGCTCCACCTGCCCTTCTAGCCCCCTGGTCCAGCACTGCTGGTCATGAGGTTTGGGCCCTGTGACCTGCCCAGATCCAAGCTGTGGGGAAAGTTTGCTGAGACCAGTTTGGGGAACAGAGGGGCCTTGTTGTACCATTTGTTCTGGGCACAGGGGACCTCCTGCATCGTCTATCTCCTCCATGAGATGCTAGTTTCAGGGATTCCTTGGGGACACTGGAGAGCAGGGCTGGCTCAGGCAGGGGCCTGACCATAGTCCAGACAGTGCAGACCCTACCTGAGGTGCCACATGGGCCCTCATCAGTCTTCTCTTCACACAGTGGAGTCACTCCTGTGCCTCCCCTGTCTGCACTCCATTGAGCCGGGAAAGGCCTGCAGTAGCCAATGCCCACATTTGAGTTTCAAATGTGAATATACCCAGGGATTGCAATTTACCAAAAGACGAAGGAAAAGGCCTCTCCCAGTACTTGGTCAACATTATTCTGTGGTATTTTTCAGATGAAATTAGCATTTAAGCCAGTATACTTTTAGTAAAGCAGATTATGCTCCATAATGTGGGTGGGTCTCATCCAATCAGTTGAAGGCCTTAAAGGAAGAAATACTGACCTCCCAGGGGAAGAGGGAATTCTGCCCCTGGACTCAAGCCACTCTTCCTTGGATTCTAGCCTCTGTAATCACACGAGACAATTCTGGACATCTCCTCCTCTCTTTTCTGTTTCTCTGGAAAACCCTGACTAATGCAATTCTTGTTAAGCTGCTTTTAAGAAGTGTGAAGAAAATATTAAAAAGATGTAACTAAGAATTTTGAGTGGACGATCTAATTATTTCACACTGGCTGAGATCTCCCTGATGTTGACATTGCAATGACACTGTGCACTTCTTGGGGTAAGAAAAAGTGCAGTCTCAGTATCCCTCCCACTAAATAGGAAGGCAAATTGCCATTTCCCGAAAAGTCCAGAATAGTAAGTAGGTTGACGAGTAACTCTTGAAGTTACATAAGACAAATCAGTTGCAACAGAGGATCATAAACCCCTCGTGTACGGAAGGAAAACAAGTTTGTCAATGTGCAAACTGTAAGTCTAAGTTCCTACTTCTGTAAAAAGTAGAGTTTCCTCTTCAAAGACTTTCCTTCCCATCTCATTAGAAATAAATAGTAACTTCTCTTAGAAGCAAAATTTATTCAAAGACCCGTGCTAACATTCTTAAACATCTGCTAGCCCTAATAAAGAAATCAATGTACTTTATGTTCTTAGCTCCCACAATTTAGCCTAAATATTTGCCCTGGCATGCTTATACTAGTCCAAGCAAGCTTTAGGTCATTGCCTGTTCCTCTTCTTTATTCGAAGGTGTTTTTACTTTTTTCAGCATTCCACAAGTTACTTCCTCCTTCCTTTGTTCTCCTCTGCCTTTTCCTCTTTAAAAAAGTTCTAAGTTGCTAGCCAATCGGGACAAATACAGAATGTGAGGTCCCGTTCCAGCCACTGGAAACTGGACACAGCAGTAGGGTGGATGCGTCAGGTTATAAATGACCCTGTCTCCTTTGCTCAGTATACTGTTGTGGCAAAACTGCTGGCGAGTGTACACTTTCTGCAGAAATTAAAAAAAAAAAATGGCCTTGCTGAGGAAATTAAATTTACATTCAAGTGCTATTTCTTTACCGCACTGGGAACAAGCATTTCAAACAATTTCAACCCTGCTGGACCGCATCAAGTGAGGGCCGGGATGGAAAAGCGGCCGTGCCGAGGTGCCCCGGAAGCAGCCTCCGGAGTGTGCCTCAGAGTTTCTGGCCATTTCAGCTAAGACTTTTCTTCTGACAGACTAGAAGTGAAAAAAAGAATTATTTACTTTGCTGGGAAATGTGACAAAAGGTTAAAATTCTACTAGTTCATAAAATATTTGAAGCTAACTTTGTTTTTATAAATAAAATTGTATTTACAATTTAAGTTTTAGTTCTCATCCTTGCTGTTATAAAAGTTATTCTAAGTTATGTCAGTCTTTGAGGGTAAATGTAGAGTATTTAAAATAGCTTATATTTGGAAAACTGAACAGTGTTTGTTGTCATTATTTTACTTTGTTCTTGACCACATTGGTCCCAGAAAAAGTCAAGGTCTTCACCCACGGATTCAAGATTCTTGTGGCAGCTGCTGAATTCTTTTCCAACAATGCTTGGGCCTCATCAGCGTCATGTTTATGCACTACCCCAGCCCCAACCACAGACATGGGCAGGAGGAACAGAGCTCTACCGTGTAGCGTCACTGCCAGTAAGAGTCTGGCTCTCCCATGAAGCATTACTCTTCCTCTGCATGTATTTTAGAATTTCAAAAGCCATTTGGCCTCCATTTCTTTAGATTGTGGATAAGATCCATAAACTTGTACTGGGGTCACTGTTCCTCCAGCCTCTTTAGCACGTATCTGCAGTCTCATTTCCAGGCTGTTTCCTCTATGGGCCACTGACTGCAGAATTCCCAGATGAATCCACTGCCCATTCCCTGTAGCCACATCTCCAAATCCACAGCCGTTCTCAGCAGCTGCCTGCACACTCACATCCCAGAGGTCAAGTTGCCACAGCTGGTGTGTGTTTCCAGCCACTAGGCAACCCCAGGTCTTCATCTGAGCACCCAGGGCCAGAAGTCTCACCCTGTCCCCCGTACCATCCCTTCCCAGCCAGCCACAGTTTCCTTCCTTCTGTTGCCCACACAGTGCTCTCAGCCCCAGATGCCCTTCCTGACACTTCCTCCCAAGGAAACCCAAGTCCTCCGTCAGGGTCCACCCAAATGTCCACACCCTCTGGTAGCCTGCCCAGCCCCAGAGGCTCCCCTGAGCTCCCTTCCCCCATTAGAGCCTACAGAGGCAGTGCTGCCCAGCAGACATCTCGGCTGGGAGTCAAACAGAGCAAGGCTATTTTGGTCCCTCTCTCCACTCTATGTGACCCTGAAATGTGCCCTGGCCTTAGGAAACATTCAGCTACATCAGAGAACGTGAGTATGCATGTGGTTTGTATAACACAGGCAAGACATGGTTTTTAGATACGTTCAGAATAGATAGTTACAGAGAACAGGTATGTTACATGTGGGAAGGAAGAGACACAAGGGCCAAGAGATACTTAATATGCATGAGGCTCCTGGGCACTAAATGTTCAATTCACAATGTGCCTTTATACAAGAGACACCTAAACATGCAGAACCATGGGGCCTTTGTTCACCACCATTCCTGGTGCCCATTCTGGTCCCATGCGTCCTCTGCCCAAGAAACACGTAGAACCCATGGCAGTGCGACAGCTGCTTCTTGGCAACGCCACCATGATCAGGCACACTTGTCCCATGTCTGTCCCGTTGAGCCGGTGTGTGTCATAAGCCCTTCAGCTGTGAGCACTCTTGCCCAGACCTCGGCTCTGGTCCTCGTGGTCACACCTGAGTGGGTGAGGTTGACTAGCAGAGAAAGAAGAGAACTGATGAATGTTGACAGCACAGGAATCAGGTCATACGGCCCTCCCATCTCCTTCCCTCAGCTTCTTGCTGTGTTTTATGAATGGATTTTATAAACCTGTGATTCGAGCATCCTCAGTTGCTTCTCGAGCCTTTCCGCTCCATGAACTCTGGGACAGCTTGCCTGGTAATGCAACTGGAGGACATCATTGCATCCAGAGAGCTTCCCACATGACAGTCTGTGAGCAAGGGACTTCGCCTCCCTGGATGGTGGTTTTCTTTTATGTAAAAGATGTGATCGTAGTCTCTATTTCTCAAGGGTGCTGTGAGAAACACACAGAATAAGGCCACGTGAAAGTGTGTGGCAGGTAGCGGATGCTCAGTAACGTGAAGCCTGCCCTTCCCGTAGCCTTTCTCTTCCTCCACTAGGTCTAGACTTCACATTGTCCCATGGTTCAAGATCCTTGGTTCATCCCAAGTCTTATCATCATCCCAGAAGGTTGGAGGGAGCTCCTGGGGAAATCCAGCTTCACGGTCCCACACTGATCACTTCCCCTGGGCATGGCCTGGTAAATGCAGCTCAGATCCGCTCCCCAGGCAAGTCAAGGAAGTTGCTGCCCAGAAACCAAGTGAGGACATTTACAAGAACCGGCGGCGGCGGCGGCAGCAGCAGCAGCAGCAGCAGCAGCAGCAGCAGCAGCAGCAGCAACTGGATTTGCTTTTTCACCAGAGGATCCAGATTTCCCTGTGGCCTTGCAAACAAAAAAGAAGGAAGACGGAGCAGCACAGTCATCCCTTTGTGAAAAAAGCATTCAGGTAACTGAGTGACTCAGCAAGCCTGGGTCTTGGGGAAATTACGAATACCTGGTTGAAGGGCAGTCCTCAGGCAGAGCCCCTGAGACCCGTTGAACTCTAGAGTGTGGGAGCAGAGGAGATTCATGGCCTGCCCAGGGGCAGTGTCCACAGGGGCAGAGTGCCCCCAGGACTCGCCCTGGCTCAGTTAAGGACTCCCCTCAGGAACTGCAGAGGTGCAAGGCAGGGTGCAGCTCTGCCTGGACTGAGCTGGAAATGCAGCCGTGTGGCTGAAGTGGCCACTTCCTGCTTTCTGTAAAGCAGCCACAGGGAACTGTGAACAGGTAAGACCCTTACTCTTGATTACTGAAGAACTAGAACCCAGGCTCCCTTGACCTTCTCTCCAAAAACCCAGATGACACGAGGACCCTCTCCCAGCTAAAGGGGCAGATTCATGCTTTAGAGTGTGGGGAGTCAGTGTGGGGGCACGTGAGTGTTTAGCTTAGGTGTGGGCCTCACAAAAGAGTCAAAACAAGTCAGCCAGGACTCCAGCAGCCTTCATTGTGTGAGAGATGCCAGCACTGTGGCCACAGCCTGACAGCTGCGCAGGCCACATAATGTGTGGGGCCGAGTGGAAAACGTGGGTTTTTTTTTGCTGTTGTTGTTCAAAATCATGAGCTTCCAGGGGCGGCAGCAGAGCTTTAAACTACTCTGGGGCCCTTCTGAGCACAGGACTTGGTATGACTGCACAGGGATACCTGGCAGGCCAAGTGCAGGGACAGAGCGGTCTGCCCAGAGGCCAGCAGGTCCCCAGTCAGTGTCTGGCACCAGCTCCCTTCATGACCTGGGCTGGCTCAGTTCCACGGGACTCCCAAGGCTGGAGGCTTCCCTGGAACATCATCCTCAGGGATTTCCCAACAGGAGCAGCCTCTGGCTTCAGATCTGTCCTTGTTTGACTCATAAATTATCACTCAGACTGAGAAAATTAACACTCAGTGATTCCTGAAAGGGTGCCCAGTGCAAAAGATAATTTTCAAAGTGAGTTCATCGGGGGATTTAATAGCCAGGCAATGTCCATTAAAACAGCGACAAACATGGGGAGAAAAGGAAAAGTTCCAACTGGAAACTCATGCTGGCTTGACAGTTGTTCTCAGGGAGCAGAACAGAAGTGGGCATTTTCATTCTGGTTACACCATCAGCGATACCTCCACGGAGCCTCTCAGCTGGTTCCTCCTGGGTCTGGGCCACAGGCCTCCCAGTATTGCCTGTCTCGGAAGACATCTGTGGGCAGGTTCTGTAGAGGGAATCTGAGGCTGTGTGGGATGAGCTGCAGGACCCCATGTGGGGAAAGGCAGGAGGCAGCACCAGCTCCTTCACCAGGACCTGAGGGTACTGTGGCTCATCAGGGGCCATCGAGGACATGGAGACCCTGCACAGTGTTTGAGGAGTCCTGCTACATCAGTTTATTCTGGTTTAGGTGGTTGAGGGGAGACTCAGTGAAGTCTTGGGGGTTCAGAGCTACACTGCCAGCCTCTGGGACAGCAGCCCCAGTGTCCCCCGACCCAGGCCTTGCTCCTCCCTGCTGATGAACGCCCACTCTGCTCCCAGATGCACACCTGTCCTGAAGACACCCGGTTCTCATGCTCTTCTCTGCAGCACCTGAATTGGGCATTCCTGGGTAAAGCTGTTTAAGTTACTTTCACTTTTATCCACTTGTTTCCGTTATTTCAACCATGCATGTCCCTTGTGTATGTAGGATAAAGGTGTCTAAGAATAAAGGTCCATGATTTAAAGTTTTTTCCTCTTCTTTCCCTGTCCTGACCACCTGATCATAAACTTGTAGAAATAAAGTGGATCTCATGTTGTGTATCTTTCGATGCATCTAGAGAGATGGTTATATTCATATAAATAAACGGGCACATCCAGCACACTATTTCTAGTTGTCGTCTGCTAATAAGTTTACATCTGGTAAATGCCAGTGTTTCATCAAATGGCTGCATTGCACATGAGTCAATCTGTGTGACAAAGAATATGGCAGGTTTTGTACAGCCTTTGTAAAGACATTCTTCAATGCTGCCTTTTAAAATAGAAATGTTAAATCCTGTAACTAATCAACCTATGCCTTGTTAGAGGGCTGACATTTTCAATAATTCCTTTACAAAGGGTAGTGAGATGCATCAGATCCCCCAGTGGCCCCCAAGTAGGGACAGTGACAGTCAGCAGTTCTTTACGGACACCTGCTCCGTGGCAGGTTCTCCGCCGGCCCTGGCTGCGGGCGGCCCTCATCTAACAAGATGCTTCGGTCCATGGGTGGAGGACAAAGGCCTATGGGCTTGGGGAGCGAGTTCTTTCGTCTCCTACATGACCTTCATCTGCTCGCGTTTGCCATGAAGCGCATCTGGGTTGGAAGGAGATGGTGGTTTCCCACGGAAGTCTGGTCCCTAAGTGACGCCTCTGCTGCCTACATCAGAATCTCCCAGGCTTGCTCCACAGTGGTCCCGTCACGTGGTGCAGACTCAGGCGCTGTCTTGTGTGTGCAGAGGCAGGCTTGGTCTTGTGTGCTCTTGATCATGCACCTAGTCACATCTGTTCTACAGTGTTGCATTCTTCTAATTTCCATGCACATCTTTGCATAGGCGTGTTCCCATTGTTCCCATGCCAATAAGTGGTGTGCAAGGTTCCAGAGTGCGCCAGTATTTCTTTAGTCGGTGTCATGCTGTTGGATATTCAGGTTTTTTAACCTAGTGTAAATAACATTCACATTTCTAAAAACCAGAAGAGTGTTTGTGATTAAGATATCATCTTAGTGGATATTAAATTGCTGCATCTGATTTCATTTCTCTTTCCCAAATAGTCAGTTGTGTGGGCTAGTCTCATTCTGAAACTGCACACTCCCATCCCAGAGGTAGAAAGCGAGATCTCCTGCCTGCATTTCATGGAGCATGTGATTATGGAGGTGTCCAGTCCCAGCAAACAGACCCCACATTCTTTTCCTTCAGTGACTCAGACGCAATATGTGGAGAGTCCCAGACAGTATCGCTCCCTCATGTTCATTAACCTCCAGAGATTAAACATCACCTGATACACAGAACTGTGGGTTCCCCGTTTGGCTAAGCATCAGGTGCAGCCAGGTTCTTACCTAGGTGCACGTGACAAGGTGCTGCCAGATGCCACCAGCGCAGACAGTCAGTGAGCCCACCTCATCAGAGGGCACATGAGATCCCCAAATGAGAAAGAACTCTAAGGAGCCAAAATCTGCCAAGATGGGTACATTAAAGCTTGCAACTTTGCACGTGAGTGCACCCTCAGACTCAGCCAGTTTATTCTCCTTTGCAGTCCATTCTGAAAAGTCCAGCCAGATGATGGCTAAAGAGTAGAGAATGGAAGGTGGAAGGCGGTTGCTGCTTGCAGAAGAGGCACGCTGGCAGCATTGGCAGGGAGGAGGAGACTGGAAACTGAGTAGCAGATCCGAGAAACCAAAATGCTCAGCAAATGAGGGCAGGTGGCATGGAGCTACTTCCCTGGGTCCAAGAGCCTAATTACGTTATTGTTCCATAAGTTCATGGCCTGCGGTCATCAGGGAAAATAAAACACTGACTAGGGGTCGGTCTTTTCTGTTTAGAGGAGGCTCCCTGAAACCTCCCCCTCCCGGGTTCAAGCGATTCTCCTGCCTTAGCCTCCCGAGTAGCTGGAACTATAGGCGCCCGCCACCACTCCCGGCTAATTTTTTTTTGTTTTTTTGTTTTTTGTAGAGACGGGGTTTCACCGTGTTAGCCAGGATGGTCTCGATCTCCTGACCTCGCGATCCGCCCGCCTCGGCCTCCCAAAGTGCTGGGATTACAGGCGTGAGCCACCGCGCCCGGCCTCAGCTGGTTTTTCAAAAGTCATGGCGTGTAATTGTCAGAACAGTGAACTTCGGAGATCCACCGGAGGGGCGAGGCCACAGCTCGACCGCGAGCACCTGAGCATCCTGCACCGCCTGCGACGGCCGTCAGGGGGCGCGATGCCGCCTCACAGAACCTCAAGCGGCGCCCGGGTTCCGGCACAGACGGCCTGCGGCTCCAGGGGGCGGAGCCGAGCCGTCTCCTCAGGACCTACGCAAGAGGCGCCGTCATCCCTACAGGGACACCTGAGAGGGCCCAGCCTCCTCCTCCTCAGGACCCACTCGGGAGACGCCGCTGGCTCTCTAGGAACACCTGGGGACCGTGGCCAGGGACGACCCAGCCTCCTTCTCCTCAGCTCCTCAGGAACGACTGGGGAAGCTGTGGCTTCATGGTCCCCGAGGCTGCCCGAGGAAAGGTGAGGAAAAAGCTTTCTGTCCCGGCTCAGTGCGGAGGAGGCCGCGCTGCCTCGCGCTCCACTTTCTCAAGTTGTATTTATTTTATTTTACAAAGTGGCCCATCATTAAGTGGCTTTGTTATTCATTATTACAGCATACCTGAGTTGTTTCATTTTTTAATTTTTGACCAATTTGGGTTTGTTTGGGGTGGATCCGGGACAGAGAAGGGAGAAACCCTGAGGGCAACATGGAGAGCCCCAGGGAGACGCGCACCCCACGACTTGCTTTTATTTGCGTTCCAGTGGCTCGTTTTTCTTAGAGTGTTAAAGTACTTGAAAAATATTGAAGAGCAGATGTAGATGTGAGTTTTCACAACCGTGTTTTAAGTGTAAATACTGGACTTTGTCTGTTAAAAGGATTTTAGGTAAAATAAATTTAAGCGGAGTTTATTTCGGCAAAGGAATGGTTCATGAATCACGCGGGAAGCACCAGAACGGAAATCGGCTTGGGGCTTCGAGCTCTTAGGGTGGCCCCTAAGTGAGGCTCCTCAGTGGCTCCAGCTAGGCCACCGCCTGTTGTGGGGATGGTTCCCTCAGCGTCCCTAGTCATACAGCCAACTGGCTGCTGGGCTTTTTGGCATTGACTGTGGTTGGTTTGTTAATTTTTTTAAGTCAGTTCAAATGCCTCCAAGTTCGGTTTCTGTTTGCTTAGGGAAGGCCTCAGGCTAACCCCCGCCGTATTTGCTTTAACATGTCAAAACCATAATTTATTTTTCATTTTACTTTCCTGGCATTAATAGAAGTAAATTCACATTTGTGTGTTATTCAGAAAGTCGGTTTAATTGGCAACCTATTTGTGATGGTGCATAAAGTAATGTCTTTTAATCATTGGCATCTTAGATTAGATGAAATATGTTAACTCTCTTAAGCTTCGTTATTAACCCATAACAAGAGTTAAGTTTCTTTTTTTCTCCTAGGCTTTGACCATTTAAAATACACTCAGGCATCTCGTAACGATGTTATACTTTCTGAGAAATCTGTCCTTAGGTGATTTCATCTTTGTGTGAACACTGTAGAGTGTCCTTATAAAACTTAGATGGTGTAGCCCACTCCACACCTAAGTTACATAGTATAGCCTATTGCTCCCAGGCTACGAACCTGTACAGCATGTCTCTGTACTGAATGCTGTAGTCAACCATAACACCATGGTGATTGTAGATTGTGATCCCAGAATATCTGAGACAGGTCTCAGTCAATTTAGAAAGCTTATTTTGCCAAGATTAAGGACACGCCCATGACACAGCCTCAGGAGGTCCTGACGACGTGTGTCCAAGGTGGCCAGGGTAGAGCTTGCTTTTGTACATTTTAGGGATACATGAGACGTGTAAGATGTACAGTCATTTGGCCCAGTAAGGCGGGACAACTGGAAGCAGGAAGTGGGGGTGCTTCCAGGTCAGAAGTAGGTTAGAGACAAAAGGTTGCATTCTTTTGAATCCTTCATCAGCCTTCCACTGAATACACAATTTAGTCTGGCTCAATGAATCTGCATTTTTACATAAATAATAGGGCAGAGGAAGCAATCAGATATGCATCTGTCTCAGGTGAGGGATGACTTTGAGTGCTGTCTGTCCTTTGTCCAAAAGGAAATTCTTTGTGGGCAAATTGTGAGTGAGGTATGTAGCTTTTTATCTTTGTAGCTATCTTAGGAATAGAATGAGGGCAGGTTTGCCTGACATAGCTCCCAGCTTGACTTTTCCCTTGGCTTAGTGATTTGGGGGTCCTGAGATTTATTTTCCTTTCATGGTATCAGAACAGAGAAAAGGTAATGCGTTGAGCCATGAGCTTATGACAAGATGGCTAGGAAGGAATTTTTCAGCTCCATTTTTATCTCATGGGACCACCATCGTATGTATGCAATGCACGAGTGTAAAATCACATTTAGTTAAGTCAGCTTACACTAAGCTATGGACCCAGATGGTCCTGGGGCCTTTTTCCACTGGGAGATCTTTAAGGACCTTTCTTAGCTTTTCTATGCTAATTGGTATATTCATAGTTGCCTTATTTCAGTGCCCATTTTGTTAATGTGTATTTTTACTAGGAAATCACCCATTTTTTCTAGGTTTCCAGTTTGATGCAATTATTTGACTTTTAATTTCTCCTCTGTTTTTAGTTTTGTACATAATTTTCCTATCTACTTTTGCACTCTTTTTTCCATCAACAATGTTTTTAAAATATACTTTTTAGCTTTTTTTGAAGAATTGTTATGTTTGACAATTTTTTATGACCTAATCATGACCGTAAATGATTTTTAATTAATTTCAGCTTAATGTCTTTTGTAGGGCACAACTGTTAAAATACAAAATTACAACAAATGTGGGTTTGCAGATCTTAATTGGCTTTTTTTGTGGTTCTAGAATCAGGCAGCAGTCCAGACCAAAAATGGTTCAGAATGATCTGCCACACAACATGTGCGGGTTATATTTATAGCCAGAGAAAAAAAGTGACATACAGAAAACAGAAGTGAGGTATAGAGGTGGCTGGATTGGTTACAGACCTGGTTACAGCCCGGATTTGCCTTCTTGGAACTTGTTTTGAACAGCTGGCTGCCGGCCATTGACTGACACTCGGCTGATGTGATTGGCTGAACCGCCGCTATTTGTTACCATGATACATTCCCAAGTCAGATTTACAGTTTGTTTCTATACTAAATTAGGTTGCGATTCTTCTTGTTCTTCTTCTTTTTTCTTTTTTGAGGCGGAGTCTCGCTCTGTCGCCCAGGCTGGAGTGCAGTGGCGCGATCTCAGCTCACAGCAAGCTCCGCCTCCCGGGTTCATGCCATTCTCCTGTCCCGGCCTCCCGAGTAGCTGGGACTGCAGGCTGCCGCCACCAAATCCGGCTAATTTTTTTGTATTTTTTTTTAGTAGAGACTGGGTTTCACCTTGTAAGCCATGATGGTCTCGATTTCCTGACCTCATGATCCACCCGTCTCGGCCTCCCAAAGTGCCGGGATTACAGGCGTGAGCCACGGCGCCCGGCCGCGACTCTTTACAAGGACTCCTTGGGAGGCTTCTAGAGCCCAAATGTTGTTTGATGTAAGAATTCCTCCCTTTTGGTCAGCCTCTCAATTTTGAGATATTGATCAAAACTTTGGGCATTGGTGTCACTCTTTGTTATCGTTGTAAATTGAGTTATTAGTACTTATTTGCTTTCAGTGTGGCATTTTCAAGTTTTATTTGGTCTCAGTGCCCTCTGGGCAATAGCAGAACACTGTGTTGTGTAAGGCGGAAATAGAGCAATAGAAAATAACAACTGATTTGTTAACATCAGATTACTTCAAGTTACTTGTTTTGGTAAGAATTAAAGCAGAGGGGACTTCTTTATGCTGACTCAGGTAGACTGGAATCTCTTCAGGGAAAAAGGGAGCTCTTTTGGGATCTGTCTACTTCCTTAAAGTTTCAGCTTCGTTGTGTGTCATTCAGCGTGAGTGTCTCCATTCTGGTTTTGCCTGCTCAGTGTGGCCTAATGCGGGAGTGGTGACCGAAACAATGACCTCCCGTAGTTTGTTCCACAGTTCTCCCCTTTTGGTTGGGTTCCTGCCTAGGTGAGGGTGTGACTAAAACCTTAGGGCATTAGCAGTATTCTCAGTAACTATCATTTTAGGGTTCCGGTCTTAGGGCATTAGCACTATTCTCAGTAACTATCATTTTAGGTTTCCGGTCTTAGGGCATTAGCACTATTCTCAGTAACTATCATTTTAGGTTTCCGGTCTTAGGGCATTAGCACTATCCTCAGTAACTATCATTTTAGGGTTCCGGTCTCAACACGTCATTTAAGAAGTCAGTAAAGCTTTCTTCTATTGTGACAGCATATTTAATACTGAGAAGGAAAAGAAAATTTTTATCTTGCGAATGTGAGCTTCCTCTAAATTATCAGGTCCAGAGAGGCGTGGGAATGAGGCAGCAGTCACGTCCCATTTCCCGCTTAGCTAAGTAATCATATCTTGAAGCTGCTTGCTATGTAGACTAGACTGACTGTCATCAGCTATAGATTAACCTAAGAGTGTCTTTGAATATTTTTTCCAGTGGCAAATATTTGCTTCTTTTGTATCGTAGCTGAAAGGAATGCTGGGAAACAAAATAAAGGCAAGCATTCATTAGAATAAGTGATCCAGTCACAATGAATCAATTTGAACTTTTTTTTTTTTCGCAAAGTCATACTTTGAAAACGTCCAGCCGTAAATTGAAATAGTCTCCAAAATGTGAATTTTTTTCCCTGGTTCTAAGATGACCAGCTTTCTTAGAGAGTGAACTACACCATAAGGAAAATGATATGACCATGTTTACACATATATGTTATCTTAACATAAAACATGTAAAAGGGGCATTTCTTTGAAAGTATATATTAGTCTGTATAATTTACTTTGCAGTATCATGAATGCTCTTATTTTTAAAAGTAGGAGTAGTTACTGTCAATTACTAATTTTTAGTACAAATAATTTAGCAGATATCTGAAAAAATTACAATTTTTAAATAGAGGTTTTATTTTAAATTAGTTTTAGATTCATACAGAAATTGGGAAGAAAATGCAGATTTCCCATGTAGACGCAACCTAGTTTCCCCGCTTTTTAACATACCAACATGTATCAGATAGGTTTAACATCTTTTTTTTTTTTTTTTTTTTTTCAGACAGAGTCTCAACCAGGCTGGACTGCAGTGGCGTGATCTCGGCTCACTGCAACCTCCGCCTCCCAGGTTCAAGCGATTCTCCTGCCTCAGCCTCCTGAGTAGCTGGTATTACAGGTGCCTGCCATCATGCCCGGCTAATTTTTGTATTTTTAGTAGAGATGAGGTTTCACCGCGTTGGCCAGGCTGGTCTTGAACTCCTGATCTCAGGTGATCCGCCTGCCTCAGCCTCCCAAAGTGCTGGGATTACAGGCATGAGCCACCACTCCTGACCAACATCTTACATCATTTCTTGTCATACTTAATGACTGGATATTACTATATTATTAAATAAGCTCACATCTTATTTGGTTTCCCTTAGTTCTGCCTTTTTCTCTCCCAGGATCCTATCTAGGATCCCATAGGACATTTAGTCATCATGTCAGGCTCTTCTTGGCTGTGACAATCTCTCAGACTTTACTTCTGAGGACCTGGAACAGTGTTAGGAGGATTGGTCAGGTATTGTGTAGAATGTCCTCCATTGTGGTTTACTTGGGGTTTTTCTCATAATCAGCCTGGGTTTAGGGGTTTGGGGGAAGCAGAGCAGATGTGTAGTGTGTCCACAAAAAGAGTCAAAGACTGTAAAATATTTTAAGAGATGTATTCTGAGCCAAATATGAGTGACCATGGCCCTTGACACAGCCCTCAGGAGACCCTGAGAACATGTGCCCAAGGTCGTTGGGGTGCAGGTTGGTTCTATACATTTTAGGGAGATAGGAGACATCAATCAAGTGTATTTAAGATATATATTGGTTCGGTCCAGGAAGGTGGGACAACCCAATGGATTAGGGTGGGGGGGGGGCTTCCAGGTTATAGGTACATTTAAAATTTTTCTGATTGGCAGTTTGTTGAAAGACTTACTATCAATAGAAAGGAGTGTCTGGGTTATGATAAGGGGTTATGGAGACCAAGGTTTTATCATGGAAATGAAGCTTCCAGGTAGCAGGCTTCAGAGAGAATAGATTGTAAATGTTTCTTATCAGATTTAAGGTTGTGTTGATGTTAAATGCTGATTGGCTTTTCCTGAATTCCAAAAGGGAGGAGGGCATAATGAGGCATGTCTGACCACCTCTTTCCCATCATAGCCTGAACCAGTCTTCCAGGTTAACTTTGGTGTCCCCTGGTGGAGAGGTGGTTGGGGGAAAGATCTTTGAATTTTATTTTTGGTTTGCAAGTGCTAGTCTAGTCACTTCATGCTCTCAAGATGTGTTATCACCATTAATGTTAACTTTTATCACTTGGTTGAGGCAGTGTTTTCAGGTTTTTCACTGTAAAGTTACTTTTTTCCCATGTCTATATTGTATGTATGCTTTTGGAGGAAGTCATCATGCAGAGCTCATACTTAAAGGAGTGGGGAGTTAGCCCCACCTCCTTGATGGCTGTCTGTATCAGGTATTTGGAATTCTTCTGTATAAGAGATTTCTATTCAGCCCATTTGCATATCTGTTTAATCATTTATTTATACCAGTATGGGTCCACAGATAGTTACTTTAATCTTTTGGTTGTTATCTAATTGTACAGTATTTTGTTGCTCTTTGTTCATACCTGTGGCCATTGGTAGCTCTTTCCACTGGCTCCTTTTACATAATTTCATGTTTTTTTTATAATTTATTTCTGTTACTTCAAAAGTACCCTGGCTCATATATTTTCTGTCCCAGTCCTAGTTTCAGCTATTTCTTCTAATAGCCCTGATTTCTTTTGTTAGAGAATGGTATGAAAAACTTACATCTGGCCACTAAATGTGGTCATTGCATCATGACACTTACAGCTGACAGTGCAAAGAAATATATGTGTGTCTTCTAACTTATATGTACCCACTTAATTATAAAGGTTTCTATGTGGAACCATCTATGTATATGTTAAGCTAAATGTGAGTTTATACTTACGTTGTATATATACATTCTGACTCATTATGACAGAGATCATTCTAGGCTTCCCTATTTTTTATCTGTAACTTCTCACTGTAATAATGAGGAACCTGGCTCCTACTATCTGCCATTTATTTCATCCCTTGTACCATTGGGAACAAGGAATTCATTCTTGATCAAGATTCCAGGTTGGGACTTAATAAGAAATATATGTTTGGTCTGTGTCTGCAGTTCCTGGTACAGAGCTTCTAAAACTATTATAATTTCCTGAACAGTAGGGGTGCTAGGAGCATCTTGTGTTCTAATATTTGGTCTTTGGCCCTGGTTCCTGACGCAGAGTTCCTAAATCTCTTGGAATCTCCTGGATAATAGGAATGGCTTCTGTTCTAATAAGGACACTCTGTGGGTTCCTGGATGGTTTCAGGATGGGGATGGTCACCAGAAAGACCAAGCCATGATAAGAAGGTTGTAACTTTTAGCTTAACATGCAATCCTTTGAGGGTGTGAAGGGACTGGAAATTGAGTTAATAATCCGTCATGTCTACATGATGAAGCTTCCATAAAAATTCCTAAAATATGGAATTTGGAAAGTTCCAGATCAAGGCTGACAGATTTGATGTCTAGTGAGGGCTCATCTATCATAGATAGTGCCTTCTAGCATGTCGTGACATGGCAGAATGGGGAAACGGGCTCCTAGATGCTTTTATAAGGGCACTGGTTTCATTCATGAGGACAGCACTCTCATGATCCGATCACCTCTCGGTTACCTCTGAATACCATCCCTTTGGGGATTACATTTCAAAATAGGAATTTGGGGTGGGGGTGTACACACATTGAGACCATAATAACTAGTAAACATAAGTAAGTATTTCCTAGTTCCATAAGCCATCATAGCAAATTGTCAAACCTGAAGAGGGGGTGTAGGAATGCCTAGTTTCTAGCCAAGTCATATAGAAGTTTGGGTAAACTGGGGATTCACAACTTGTGATTGGCATCTGAGGTTGTGGACAGTCTGGTGTTACTAAGCCCTTAACCTGTAGGGTGTATACTAACTCCAGGTAATCAGTGTCACAGTTGAATTACAGGATACCCAATTGTTTTCCAGAGAGTTGGAATATTGGTTGGTATGGGAAACACCCCCCACCCCCCACAATTTGCTGTTAAAAGTGGAGTGTTGATAGTATAGAGGAAAATCATGGTTATTTTTCTTTTTACAGATATAGTAGTTTCAAAATTAACTATTATCCCTATGGGAAATAACTTTATAAAATAGAGTCCACTGTTCGTGTATATAGTACGTTTTGTTTTTAGTGTATGGATTCTACTCATTTCCAGCTCAGCACCTTTGGCCCACCACTTGCAACATACATTGGTAATACAGTTAGATTCTTGGTTGCACTCTGTATTTTGTCCTTATATACTTCCACATCCTAAATAATTTAATTTGTGTAGCTTGTGATTTGTTCTTTGTGCATTAAAATTCTGTGGGTTTTATCAAATGCATAGTGTCAGATATCCACTACTGAAGTAGCATACAGAATACTTCAAATCCCCACCCCAGACAGTCACTGATCTGACTATCATCTCTTTGGTTGTGCTTTTTCCAGAATGTTATATGAATGGAGTCATATAATGTATAGCATCTTCATACTGCCACCCTTTACTTAGCAACATAGATGCAAGATTCATTCATTTGTTTTCATGGATTGACAGTTCATTCCTTTCTGTTGGTGAATGGTATTCCATTGCATGGTTGTACTTCAAATTGATTATGCATTCAGCTATTGAAGAACGTTCTGACTACTTCAAGTTTTGGCCATTATGAGTAGAGTGGCTCGTATATAATTACATGCTAGTTTTTGTTTGAACATAATTTTTCAAAGCAGCTGTCTAAACATACACAATTTAGGGGTGCATTTGTTGGATTGTAAGGTAACACTTGTTTATCTTTGGGAAAAACTGTCAAACTATTTCCCAAAGTGGCTGTACCCATTCATGCATTCTGCCAGTAATGAATGGCCGTACCTATTGTTCTTCAACCTCCAATTGTTACTGTTGAGCTTTTTTAAGAGTCCCACAGTTGTACTAGGTGTGCAGTGATATCTCAGCATTATTTTAATTTGCAGTCTCCTAATGAGATATATTGAGCATCCTTTTGTGTGATTATGTGCTATCAGTATATTTTCTTTTTTTTTTATTTTATTGAGATAGAGTCTCGTTCTGTCACTCAGGCTGGAGTGCAGTGGCGTGATCTTGGGTCACTGCAACCTCCACCTCCGATGTTCAAGCAATTCTCTTGCATCAGCCTCCCAAGTAGCTGGGATTACAGGCACCCACCACCATGCCTGGCTAATTTTTTTGTATTTTTAGTAGAGAGGGGGTATCACTATGTTGGCCAGGCTGATCTCAAATTCCTGACCTCAGGTGACTCACCCGCTTCAGCCTCCCAAAGTCCTGGGGTTATAGGCATGAGCCACCACACCTGGCCTGCTATCTATATATTTTCTTTGGCTGGATGTCTGTTCAGATATTTACCCAGTTTTATTTGGGTTTTTAGTTTTCTTAGTGTTCGTTTGAAGAGTTCTTTGTGTATTTTCAATACAGTTTTTAAAATCACGTTTGTATTTTGTAAATATCTTCTGACAGTGTGTCTTGTCTTTTTGTTCTCTGAATAGGGTTTTTCATAGTAGAAAATTTAGTTTTATAAAGTCTGTTCTCAGTATTTTCACGAATTGGCACTTGATGCTGTGTGTTAAAACTCAACACCAGATCCAATGTCTCTTAGGTTTTCTTTTAGATTATTTATAGTTTTGCATTTGAAGTTGTAGTCTCTGGACTATTTTGAGTAGGTTTTTGTGTTTTACTTTGTGTATAGAGTCATTTCATTCTATATGGCTTCCAAATAATTCTTCCATCACCATTTATGGGAAGGGTATGGATATACTGGCCTTTATTTCGGTTTGAATTTCCAAAATTATGACACTGAATAAACTGAATATTGAATTTTATAGGTATTTCAGGACAGCCAGGAGGGGGCGCACATCCGCCGAGAAACTGTGAGCAAGAGCGTCTGTGCTGAACCATGGCGCCACCAGAGGGCGCGCGATCCCGCCCCAACCAACTTCCCGCTGAAGTGCCAGAAGCAGCGAGGAGCTTCAACTTCCTCAGGGCAGCACGGGGGTCGTGTTAATTTGGTGTTCTTCATTGGTGAGTAAAAAGCTCCTGTCCACGGCCCTGAGTGCCAAGGAGTGAGTCTTTAGAGCACTCAGCAGAGGAAGAAATTCATCTAGAAAAATAAAGCCCCCAAATCTCACTATTTGGAGTACACCCTAATATCATTGTCAACGTCCAAGACACAGTGGCTGCTAATATATATTCTTACAGTGGCCTCTAATATAATAATCACACTGTGCTCTACATTACTATGATATCTACACCGTGCCCTAACACCTATATAATATTCACACCATGCGCTAACACTGATGTAATCCACAACATCGCTTCCAATACTAATGTAATAATATCCACACCATGCCCTATCACTGATCTAGTCCACACCATCGCTTCCAATACTAATGTAATAATATCCACACCATGCCCTATCACTGATCTAGTCCACACCATCGCTTCCAATACTAATGTAATAATATCCACACCATGCCCTATCACTGATCTAATCCACACCATCGCTTCCAATACTAATGTAATAATATCCACACCATGCCCTATCACTGATCTAGTTGACAACATCGCTTCCAATACTAATGTAATAATATCCACACCATGCCCTATCACTGATCTAGTCCACACCATCGCTTCCAATACTAATGTAATAATATCCACACCATGCCCTATCACTGATCTAATCCACACCATCGCTTCCAATACTAATGTAATAATATCCACACCATGCCCTATCACTGATCTAGTCCACACCATCGCTTCCAATACTAATGTAATAATATCCACACCATGCCGTATCACTGATCTAATACACAACATCACTTCCAATACTAATGTAGTAATATCCACACCATGCCCTATCACTGATCTAGTCCACACCATCGCTTCCAATGCTAATGTAATAATATCCACACCATGCCCTATCACTGATGTAATCCACAACATCGCTTCCAATACTAATGTAATAATATCCACACCATGCCCTAACACTGATCTAGTACACACCATCGCTTCCAATGCTAATGTAATAATATCCACACCATGCCCTATCACTGATCTAATCCACACCATCGCTTCCAATACTAATGTAATAATATCCACACCATGCCCTATCACTGATGTAATCCACACCATCGCTTCCAACACTAATGTAGTAATATCCACACCATCGCTTCCAATACTAATGTAATAATATCCACACCATGCCCTATCACTGATCTAGTCCACACCATCGCTTCCAATGCTAATGTAGTAATATCCACACCATGCCCTATCACTGATCTAGTCCACACCATCGCTTCCAATACTAATGTAGTAATATCCACACCATGCCCTATCACTGATCTAGTCCACACCATCGCTTCCAATACTAATGTAGTAATATCCACACCATGCCCTATCACTGATCTAATCCACACCATCGCTTCCAATACTAATGTAATAATATCCACACCGTGCCCTATCACTGATCTAATAAACACCATCGCTTCCAATACTAATGTAATAATATCCACACCGTGCCCTATCACTGATCTAATCCACACCATCGCTTCCAATACTAATGTAGTAATATCCACACCGTGCCCTAACACTGACCTAGTCCACACTATCGCTTCCAATACTAATGTAATAATATCCACACCATGCCCTGTCACTGATCTAGTCCACACCATCGCTTCCAATACTAATGTAATAATATCCACACCATGCCCTATCACTGATCTAGTCCACACCATCGCTTCCAATACTAATGTAGTAATATCCACACCATGCCCTATCACTGATCTAATCCACACCATCGCTTCCAATACTAATGTAATAATATCCACACCATGCCCTATCACTGATCTAATCCACACCATCGCTTCCAATACTAATGTAGTAATATCCACACCATGCCCTATCACTGATCTAGTCCACACCATCGCTTCCAATACTAATGTAGTAATATCCACACCATGCCCTATCACTGATCTAGTCCACACCATCGCTTCCAATACTAATGTAATAATATCCACACCATGCCCTATCACTGATCTAATCCACACCATCGCTTCCAATACTAATGCAATAATATCCACACCATGCCCTATCACTGATGTAATCCACACCATCGCTTCCAACACTAATGTAGTAATATCCACACCATCGCTTCCAATACTAATGTAATAATATCCACACCATGCCCTATCACTGATCTAGTCCACACCATCGCTTCCAATACTAATGTAGTAATATCCACACCATGCCCTATCACTGATCTAATCCACACCATCGCTTCCAATGCTAATGTAATAATATCCACACCATGCCCTATCACTGATGTAATCCACACCATCGCTTCCAATACTAATGTAATAATATGCACACCATGCCCTATCACTGATCTAGTCCACACCATCGCTTCCAATACTAATGTGATAATATCCACAGCATGCCGTATCACTGATCTAGTCCACACCATCGCTTCCAGTACTAATGTAATAATATCCACACCATGCCCTATCACTGATCTAATCCACACCATCGCTTCCAATACTAATGTAATAATATCCACACCATGCCCTATCACTGATCTAGTCCACACCATCGCTTCCAATGCTAATGTAATAATATCCACACCATGCCCTATCACTGATGTAATCCACACCATCGCTTCCAATACTAATGTAATAATATGCACACCATGCCCTATCACTGATCTAGTCCACAGCATCGCTTCCAATACTAATGTGATAATATCCACACCATGCCCTATCACTGATCTAGTCCACACCATCGCTTCCAGTACTAATGTAATAATATCCACACCATGCCCTATCACTGATCTAATCCACACCATCGCTTCCAATACTAATGTAATAATATCCACACCATGCCCTATCACTGATCTAATCCACACCATCGCTTCCAGTGCTAATGTAATAATATCCACACCATGCCCTATCACTGATCTAGTCCACACCATCGCTTCCAATACCAATGTAATAATATCCACACCATGCCCTATCACTGATCTAATCCACACCATCGCTTCCAATACTAATGTAATAATATCCACACCATGCCCTATCACTGATCTAGTCCACACCATCGCTTCCAATACTAATGTAATAATATCCACACCATGCCCTATCACTGATCTAATCCACACCATCTCTTCTAATACTAATGCAATAATATCCACACCATGCCCTAACACTGATGTAATATCTGCACCATTCCCCAACACCAATACAATATCCACACCGTTCCCTAACACTAATCTAAATATCCATACCATGCCCTAACACTAATATATTGACACAATGGCCTCTAATACTAATAAATATAATAATATCTACTAAGTGGACTCTGTTGACATTGAGACTTTGTTAAGGGTTTTACAGCTTTGGCTGAACTATAGCCTCTGTAATGGATTTTGATGATGTGTCTGCTTTCCTGGCATGGTATTGACATGGTTGTTTTAAAAAGTAACTTATTTTCCAATAATGTCATATGTCTAGGCAACTTCCAGTAGTAGTACAAAGTACAGCTTGTTTCTTCCCTTAGATTCCCCAACAGTTATTGCTGTACCAGATTTGCAGTGTCCCACAAAATACTCCGGTATATTGTACTGAAAGCATGGACACTCTCCCAGGTAACTACCACATAACCCCTAGATCAGGAAATCAGCGTTGTTCCTACATGATAATTCGGTCCACAAACTCACTTCAGTTTTACCTCATGCCACACTTGGGAGTATAATGTGTTTTTTTTTTTTTTTTTTATTAGGATCCAGTTTTCTTTTCCTGGAACTGTTCCCCAGACTTTCCTGCATATTTATGACCTTGACACATTTAAAGAGCATACAGGTTTTTGTTTGAACAGTTGTTTTCAGGTCTTTGGGGTATATACCTAGGAATGGAATCATTAACTCATATGGTAAATCTATTTGTAACTTTATGAGGAAACATCAAATTATTTTACACGTAGGCTGCACCATTTCATATTGTCACAAGCAGTGTTTAAGAGTTCAAGTTTCTGCACATCTTTGTCAACACTTGTTATTTTTTAGTATAACTATTCTTGTGTGAGTTAAGGGTTATCTCTTTATGGTTTTAATTATGGTAATGATGTTAAGCATCTTTTCATGTGCTTGTTGGTGAAGTGTGTCTTTTGTCAATTTTTAGATTGGGTTGTCTTTGCTATGGAGTTGTAAAAGTTCTTTATACATTCTGGATAACAGACACTGATGAAGTATCTAATGTGCAGACATTTTCTTCCATTTTATAGGTTGTTGGAACGTAATAAGAGTTAATGTGTGGTCTCTGCTGCAGTGTCCTGAAACAGAGCGCTAAGCCTTGGGAATGTACGAAGTAATGTGTCTTTCGTACGCTAATGAAATGATTGATGGCTGGGGGCACCTGGACAGCCTCAGTGGGGCTGGCTGCCAAGGGAAGCAACCTTGTCATGAGAGAATTTGAAATTTCTTCCCCCGTCCCGTCTCTGTGAAGGGGAGAGGTGCTGATGGTTGAGTTGATCACCTATGGCCACAGACGTAACCAATCTGCCTGTGTAATAAAGGACAGGGTTGGGAGAGCATCTGTGTTGCTCTCCCAACACAAGAGATACTGGGAGGATCATATCTGGTGAGGGCATGGGAGGCCTGCATTCCTTCCATATACCTCACCTTGTGCATCTCTTCATCTGGCTTTTCATTTGTAGTGTTTAAAAGATCCTTGGTAATGAGTCAGGAATAGTAAGTACACTGCTTTCATGGGTTGTGTAATGTGATGTAGCAAATTGCTGAACCCAATAAGGGTGTTGTGGGAGTCTCCAATCTGTAGGAAAGTCAGACAGAAGGTAACCTGGGAACCTACTGTTTGTGGTTGGCATCTTAAGTGGTTACAGTCTTGTAACTTAGTACCCATATTTTCTTAAAGAAGAAATGAATTAGTTTTACCATTTTGCTGTTCCTGCACTTAGCTCTTTAGGAATGCAATTATAAGCTTTACTGTCTCTCCACCAGACACTTCCTATACTGCAAACTTTTCCAACTGTGTGATTACTTATAAGTTCCAGGGACCAAACCTTGAAACAAACTGGCACTTCCATATCTCTCCCCCACCAGTAGATTGGCAGCAGACAACAGTCAATTTACAACCTGGCTCTGCCCGTGGTGGTGCTAGCAAGACCACCTAATGGAGAAAACATCAGAGCATGTCCCATAGACCCCGCACCTCCTCACCTCATCCCCTGCATGCCATTCTGGCAAGTCCGAAAGCCCAGCTTTCTGCCCAGAAAGTGGAAGCGCTTCCCTTAAGGCAAGAGCCTGTATGTTCCCTTCAGCTAAGCTCTGGCATAAAGTCACTTTCTTTTTACCATCCTTGTGTTTGTCATTTAAATTTGCAAGCGACAAGGGGCATGACGTGTATTCCTAGGACTGAGCCCTTAGCCTGTGGGGTCTGATGCTTTCTCCATTTACTGTCACAATTGGATTGCACTGTAGGACACGCAGCTGGTACCCAAGATTTGGTCTGTGTGGGGAAAAAACCCATGTATCTGGTAACAGAAGTGTTCTGTGTTGAGTGTTGAGAGTATACTATAAGACAGTTGTTTTTCCTATTATAACATTTTGTCTTTCAACTTTTTTCTTCATGTCTTCTGAGACGTAAAAGTTGTGAATTTTGAGGAAATAAATTGATTTATTTTTCCTTTTGTGGTCTGTGCTTTTGGTGTCAGATGTAGGAAACTATTGCTACGTGTAAGGTCATGAATGCTTAACTGTACGTTTTCTTCCAGAGTTTTTAGTTTTCACCTGTTTTGGTCTTTGATCCATTGTAAGTTAATTTTTTATGTGGTATGAGGTAAGGATACAATTTCATTTCCCTTTATGTGGATAGCAAGTTGCCTTACATCACTTGTTGAGGACAGGATTCTTTCCCCAATTTACTGGTAATGGACCTTGTCTAAAATCAGTTGAGCATAGAGGTATTGTTTTCTGTCTGGACTCCCAATTCAATTCAGTTGATCTTTCTGTTTATTCCTGTGCAAGGATCCCACTGTTTTTATTACTGTTCCTTTGTAATAAAATTTGAAATTGGGATGTGATCAGGATCAGCTTATCCACTTCTGTCCCAAGGCCTTTGGGATTTTTGTAGGAATAACATCGAATCCACGGATTGCTTTGTGTACTTTGGGAAACTTAACAATGTGGTCTACAAATCCACAAATAAGATACATTTTTACATTTACTGG
Source organism: Homo sapiens (assembly GCF_000001405.40). Lineage (NCBI taxonomy): Eukaryota > Metazoa > Chordata > Mammalia > Primates > Hominidae > Homo > Homo sapiens. The sequence goes on along the minus strand of NT_187653.1, from coordinate 7,378 downwards.
AAGTTTAATTTCCTTAAGTAATGTCTTATAATTTCCCTCATCTAAGTCTTGTCGTTTCATTCCATTTATTCCTAAGTATAATATTGCTATTGGTATTGTTTAAGGTAGAATTTTCATAATTTGGTGTAGAGATTATCCATTCCTAGCATATACATATAAAATGGAATGTTTGGCCAGGCACCCGGGCTCATACCTATAACCCAAGCAGGTTGAGAGGCTGAGGAAGGGTTAGGGTTAGGGTTGGGGTTGGGGTTGGGGTTAGGCTTAGGGCTTAGGGCTTAGGGCTAGGGCTAGGGCTAGGGCTAGAGTTAGGGTTGGGTTAGGGTTGGGTTAGGGTAGGGTTAGGGTTAGGGGTTAGGGGTTAGGGTTTGGGTTCGGGTTTGGGTTATGGTTAGGGTTCGGGTTCAGGTTCGGATTTAGGGTTCAGGTTTATGGTTCGGGTTAGGGTTCAGGTTAGGGTTTGGGTTGGGTTTAGGGTTAGGGTTTAGGGTTAGGGTTTGGGTTAGGGGTTAGGGTTAGGGGTGAGGGTGAGGGTGAGGATGAGGGTTAAGGTTTAAGGGTTAAGGGTTAGGGTTAGGGGTTAGGGTTAGGGTTAAGGGTCAGGGTCAGGGGTTAGGGTCAAGGGTTAGGGTCAAGGGTTAGGGTTAGGGGTTAAGAGTTAGGGGTTAGGGATTATGGTTTGGGTGAGGGTGAGGTGTGAGGGTGAGGATGAGGGTTAGCGTTTTAGGGTTATGGTTAGGGTTAAGGGTTAGGGCTAGCGGTTAGGGGTTAAGGGTTAGGGGTAGGATAAGGGTAAGGATTAGGGTTAGGGTCAGGGTAAGGGTAAGGGTAAGGATTAGGGTTAGGATTAGGGTAAGGGTAAGGGTTATGGTTAGGGTTTTAGGGTTAGGGTTTTAGGGTTAGGGTTAGGGGTTAGGGTTAGGGTTAGGGTTAGGGTTAGGATTAGGGTTAGGGGTTAGGGTTAGGATTAGGGGTTAGGGTTAGGGTTAGGGTACTGTAAATAATTTCACATTATTACTAATAATAAATTATTATTTGTATTACACTATTACATAATGTAAAGGCTATTAAGACATGTTTGTCTTCAAAGAATGGCCTTGGTTTCTGTGGGCAGTGCCTCCTCATGGAAGGGTAATGCATTCCTGCTAAATCATGGACAAAACGGGCTTCCAGGAGCTACAGGCTGCAGCAGCAGCTCCTCCTCTAAGTCCTTCACTGCCTCAAACTCTTGTTGACTTTGTAAGCTTCTTTCAGTCTAGTTTTTTCAACAGAGCTAGTATTTCATGAGGTTCTACTACATACCAGGTTCCAGAAATCTAAATGCCTTTTGTTTGTTATTTTTCACTAAATACAAATCACAACTCTCTCCTCATTACTCACACAACAAAATTTAGCTGAGGGAGATTGAGTGACTTTCCTAGGGTCACATAGCTACTAAGAGCAGAGCCGTGTTTAGATTCATGTGGGAATATTGAACACAGAAATGAACCAGTGGAAACATCCTGTGTTCCAAAAGCCTACTCAAGCCATTTGTTCTTATTTTAAGGAAAATCTTTATGCTAATTTTAAACTCCAAATACTTATGAATGGCAGAGATCTACAGATTTGATTCTGATATAAGAAATGATGGTCACCAGCCGGTTACTGCTACCACCCCACAACCCCGAGCATACTGGACGAATGTCTAAGCCTTGTGGTTAGTGGGGACAATGCTGGTGGAGTCTGAAGTTGTCATGCAGTGACTCATGCAAGCTTAGGCAGATTTGGTGATATATGACACAGAGATGCAAAGAAATGTTGTAGCTGACACACACAGGCTGGCTCTGGGAGATGCAGAAGGAGCACGTCACCCAAAATAGAGCCAGACAGACATCCTTAAGGAAGGAGCAAAGGGGCTGCATCTTAAAGAATGTAGAAAGGATTTGTCATGAGAGATGGGGCAGGAAGTTCTTCAGAGGCAGAGGGAGAGCATGAGAATGTTGGGAAGGGAGGAGAGATTCTTGCACATCTGGGAAGCTGACAATCCATCAGCATGGCCAGAAGGAAAATAAGGAGGAGGAGCAGAAATAGATGAGGCTGGATATAGAAGCAGGGCTGAAGCTGTGTCGATTGTGGTAAAGAGTTGTGATTCTATCCAGAACGCAATAGGTAGCATTCTAAACAGAGATCTTTTAAAACAAGAGTCAGCAAGTATTTTCTGCAGGGGGCTAAATGTTAAATATTTTAAGTTTTCCAAGCCATATGGTCTCTCTCTCAATGACTCAGCTCTTCCATTATACCATGAAAGTAGCCAGAGACATTATGTAACACATGTATTGGCTGTGTCCCATTACAACTTTACTTACAAATGCAGACTGTGTCAGACATGGTCCATGCATGGTAGTTTGCCACACCCTGTTTTAGAAAGCTCAGGTTTATGATGTGATGGAGAATGCCTACAAGAGCTCTTGTTTTAAATGGTAGAGTGAACATACACTGGAATTCTATCCTGCTTGACCCAAGCTCTTGATAGCGAAAGGTAGAAAAGATAGATGGTAAATAGATAGATAGATGATAGATAAAGAAAATACATAGCTGTTCCAGAAAACAGAAATGGATAACTTCATGAACCAAAAGCAGAGTAATATGCTTTAGAAAGGAAGCAGGCCGGAAAACCCACAGTTGCAAAACAAATAGAATTTCCAACTGCCTCTTGTAGCCCCTTCCTGGAAGTAGTCACAGCCCAGGGTGTTCGACTACTTCCTCTGTTTTTTGTTTGTTTGTTGTTTGCTTTTCTGTGGGGTTTCTGTTGTTGTTGTTTGCTTTTAAAAAAAAATTCCCTTTCCCTGCTTTTTTGTCACAGCAGCCTTTGTCACTTCAAACACCGCAAGTGTTCTTTAAAAAAAATTATATCAACCTTTCAATTAAAATGCAACATGTCTGAAAGTTGGTATCTGGAGAGGTGAGTTGGACAAAGGAGCCCTTGTTACTGCACGTTTTCATTCTTCAAATTTCACCTTGCACGCAGTAACAGACAGTGCACAAAGCCACTTCCTTATGGACGGAAATTCTGAAATCCTTTTATGCCTGGCCTTTCCATCCTTCAACTTCCCCTCTCCCACGCTGTGAATGATTGTATTGGACATTTTTGTTTTAATGTCAGTGACAGGGGAACACAGGTAGCTCTAATATAGCTGTGACCCAGATGCTTCTGTTTCTAGCATGTATTTATTTTGTAGCAAACATTTACATCCATGATGTTTCACTGTCTTTTGAAAATAATTAGGCAATATCTCATCTGAGGTAGGATGTTTCTAGGGGTTGTGTTCTGAGGGAGGAAAACTAATCTGTTCTCTTTCCACTGCATTCTAGGAACAGTAAGAGGACCTTGTGCATGAATAATTTGTTTCCACACTACAGAGTGGGTAATAAGCAGACTAGTAAAAACAATTCTGCTTCACTTCAATAACAGCCTCCTCCAACTCATTTTTTCTCAACAAACTTATTTTTCCAGCAGAAGAATCCCAGACTTCTTAGAGAACCCAGTGACTTTTTGCACCTTAAATCTGTGAAATCCTCATGTTTTCTTCTGCCGTATCCATAGTTCAAACAAAGATGAGGCAAAGCTAGACGCATTCCTGAAGGAACCCAAGAAATTCCTCTCTTTCTTTCTCTGGAATGAAATGAATTCTCTAGACCACCAGTTCTAACCTTCAAAAACCAAACCTGTTTGTGAGATCTTCAAATACTACTGTAGACCCCAGTGTTTATTCATTAAATTTTTTAAATATTTGTTTTATTTGGAATCAAAGTATTTGTAATTTTAGTGTTTGTATTAATATCAGGGAGAAATGTTTAAATCTGTCTTATGCCATATGTGCCTCTGGCTTATTGCCCAATTAATTGTAGTCTCAGGCTAAACTTTGGTTTCTGTCTTTAATTTTTGTCAGAAGAAATATAACTGATCTCAAAACATCTGCTTTTATTGTAGGGGCTCGTGCTGCCGTCTCCATTCTTCTCTCTTTTCTTGCAATCTGGGTGGAAGTTCTTTAATATGAACATTTCAACCACCTTCATTCTACCATGTCCACTATCAGCACATTCAAACTGATCCAGCCAAGGCTGTCATCTTAGGCCAGGGATTTTTTAGGAATCTATTTTGCTGTGATGCGGCTGGCACCCCTTTGACTCACTGTATCACCCCAGGGTTCTTTTCATTTCAGAAGCCCAAGAGGGCAGAAAAAGAAGTAGGTGAGCAATTAAACACTCTGAGTCAGGAGCGTCTCCCCTTGCGTTAAGCAATGTTGTAGAACATCAATGTTCTACATCGATGTTGGTGACCTTGGTACCATTTTGTCCACTTGATTGGAAAAGCCAGTCAATAATTTCAGGTCACTGTTGGCCTTAGAAGAAGAGCCCAAAGGCAACAAGCAAAGGCGCTGGTGTCCAGTCGCCTTCTAGAAGCATTTTCACTTTCCCTTAAGGTTTCCCTTGATGAACATAGAAGTACTGTATGTAGAATTGACCCAGTGCTGCCCTGGCAACTTTGTATATTAGGCCAAATTTACATTTCTTACCTTTATGAGAGGCACCCTGGTAGGCTAGTGGAGTTACACGCAAAGTCTGATCTCAGCTGCACTGTCCAGAAATGCAACACGGTCCAATCAAATAACATTCTCTGAGCCTGTTTCTTTAGCTGTGAAAGAAGAATAACATACCCATCTAAAAAGGCAGCTTATTGTATTTGATTGGTCTTTTATTTTCTATGAAACTGTGTTTAACACAGTAATTATTTTCATTTGTGTACTACATTTGTGTTGTGTTTTTGGTTTTAGTTTTGTTTTTGAAATGGAGTCTTTTTTTTAGTGGTTTTTTGTTTTGTTTTGTTTTGTTTTGTTTTTGAGATGGAGTCTTTCTATTGTCACCCAGGCTAGAGTGCAGTGGCGTGATCTCCGCTCACTGCAACCTCCACCTCCCAGGTTCAAGTGGTTCTCCTGCCTCAGCCTCCTGAGAAGCTGGGATTACAGGTGCCCACCAACATGCCCAGCTAATTTTTAAAATATATTTTTAGTAGAGATGGGGTTACAACATGTTGCCTGGGCTGGTCTCAAACTACTGACGTCAAGTGATCCACCTGCCTTGGCTTCCCAAAGTGCTGGGATTATAGGCATGAGCCACCGCGCCTGGCTTGTTTTAAAATAAGGGTTTCTTGGCTAGGCATGGTGGCTCACACCTGTAATCCCAGCACTTTGGGAGGCCAAGGTCAGTGGATCACCTGAGGTCAGGAGTTCGAGACCAGCCTGACCAATATGGAGAAACCCTGTCTCAACTGAAAATACAAAATTAGCCAGGCGTGGTGGTGCATGCCTGTAATCCCAGCTACTCAGGAGGCTGAGGAAGGAGAATTGCTTGAACCCAGGGGGCAGAGATTGCAGTGAGCTGAGATCGCACCATTGCACTCCAGCCTGGGCAACGAGCAAAACTCTGTCTCAAAATAAAAAAAAGATTTCTTAAAATGATATTTTCAGTATTTTATAGATGATGTGTAAGCAGCAAGCTTAATAGGATGTTACCCGACACTTTGCGAGACTGGCAGCTGATTTGATCCAGATGTCTCTAATTCTTTTTTCTTTTTCTTTTTCTGTTTTTTTTTTTTGACAGAGCCTTGCTCCGTCCCCCATGCTGGAGTGCAGTGGCACGATCTCGGCTCACTGCAACCTCCACCTCCCGGGTTCAAGCGATTCTCCTGCCTCAGGCTCCCGAGTAGCTGGGATTACAGGCGCGCGCCACCATGCCCAGCTAATTTTTTGTATTTTTGGTAGAGACAGCATTTCACCATGTTGGCCAGGCTGGTCTCGAACTCCTGACCTTAGGTGATCTGCCTGCCTCGGCTTCCCAAAGTGTTAGGATTACAGGCGTCAGCCACTGTGCCTGGCCCAGATGTCTCTAATTCTAACATGAGATGTATTGCAGGATCATAGCAGAGTGAGTTGCTGATGTATCCAGAAGGAAACGAGCATGGAACACTCACGACAGCTGTCCTGAGAAGTGTGTGTGTGCTGTGCTTGAATATCTCACTGCTCATTTATACACAGGCTTTCTGGTGACTGAGTTAACAGTATCTGTTTCATAAATAATGTAGCCCTCTTTCTTTCTTTCTCTCTCTCTCTTTTTTTTTTTTTTTTTTTGAGACAGGGTCTTGCTCTGCTACCCAGGCTGGAGTGCAATGGTGCAGTCTCAGCTCACTGCAACTTCACCATGCCTGGCTAATTTTTTCTTTTTTTTTTTTTTGAGACGGAGTTTCGCTGTTTTTGCCCAGGCTGGAGTGCAATGGCACAATCTCGGCTCACCACAATCTTTGCCTTTTGGGTTCAAGGGATTCTCCTGCCTCAGCCTCCCGAGTAGCTGGGATTACAGGCATGTGCCACCACACCCGGCTAATGTTGTAGTTTTAGTAGAGACGGGGTTTCCCTATGTTGGTTAGGCTGGTCTCAAACTCCTGACCTCAGGTGATCTACCCGCCTCGGCCTCTCAAAGTGCTGGGATCACAGGCGTGAGCCATCACTCCTGGCCTAATTTTTGTATTTTTAGTAGAGAGAGGGTTTCACTCTGTTGGCCAGGCTGGTCTCGAATTCCTGACCTCAAGTTATCTGCCTGCCTTGGCCTCCCAAACTGTTGGAATTACAGGCGTGAACCACCATGCCTGGCCAGCTCTATTTCTTTAAGCCTACATGTTTTGCACTTGTTAAAAGTATTTGAACATACAATTACTCAGCTTCCCTTGTTTACGCGTGAATTTTGTAGAATCTTAAATATTTTTTCCAATCTAAGCTTTATTTTATCCCGTTTCTTCTATATTTGTATAACTTTAGGCGGCTATCTTCATTGAAAGTTTTTTCTCAAAAGCCTTAAGATAGAACGTAGTTCTTGGCAGCAATTTGAAAGTTATTTGAGGAGAAGGGGAGACTTACAATGATGATTCAAATGAAGGAAACTAAAAAGTAATGAAGCAAGGCAGAGGAAAAAGCAGTACTCACTTGAGCACATCCCAAAAGAATAACATTTCAAATGTAACTAGAAAAAAGTATGCTGAAGTTCGCAATACAGAAATAATTATTAATAAGATAGCTTTAAAGCCCTGCTCAGCTTTTGAATGTTGGGTTAGGGTTAGGGTTAGGGTTAGGGTTAGGGTTAGGGTTAGGGTTAGGGTTGTTAGGGTTAGGGTTGTTAGGGTTAGGGTTAGGGTTAGGGTTAGGGTTGTTAGGGTTAGGGTTAGGGTTAGGTTTAGGGTTAGGGTTAGGGTTAGGGTTAGGGTTGTTAGGGTTAGGGTTAGGGTTAGGGTTAGGGTTAGGGTTAGGGTTAGGGTTAGGGTTAGGGTTAGGGTTAGGGTTAGGGTTAG